>NW_003315966.2:0-128386 GCF_000001405.40 Homo sapiens
GAGACTCAACCCCCTACTCCCTCCCAAGACACCTCTGGCCAATGAGGAATGGATGTTGGTGGGATAAATACTCCAGCTTCCTTGCCCCTCAGGTGGGCTGCTGTGAAGCATGTCCCTGCCATCTCCCAAGGCCCCTACAGTGTTGAGTTCTGCTTGTCCACGGTGCTAACTACCCATCAATACTCTGAACAGGTTTGTCTCCCTTCCCCGCTCCCCAGGGGGGCTTCCAGAAATGCGTTTCCAAACAATCTTCTGAACTCCATCTTTCTCTACTTCTGGGAGAATTCAACCCAAGATCTGGTCCACCAGCTCTCAGCCCAAGTCCTCCCAGTTACCAGCTCTACCCCCGGCGGGGCATGTTCATCCGGAGTGCTGCTGTGACCCAGTCATTGTGCAAGGGCGCCGTGCTGCAAAGATCAAAGAAGCCTCTGCATTCTGGAAAATATTGGGTCAAATAGCATGTCATTTTAGAAAAGCTCTCAAGTATGGCATTTCCTGAGCACTGCAATTACAGCCTCTTTCTATGTTGGCTTTAAATGCCCGTGTAAGCAGCTATTTACTCTCTGGCTCGGGGCACCACTAAAGGGCTCTTGCTCGCTCTAAATATATCATGACAAACTCATAACCCTCAGGCTGCCCGAATGTACATTTGTGAGAGTCGGCCACCGTGCTTGTGGTTGAGTGCGTCCACATACAACCGTGCCCTGAGTGCAGTTCAAAGCTAAGCAGAGCCTCTTCCCTACTTTCCCCTTCGCCGCTCCCCTCCCCAGGAGAAGCCATGAGGAATTTCTCTGAAGAGAAAAAAGCGACAGGACTTTGAGATTCACTGTTAGACTGGCTCCAAGGGCAGGAGCTTCCTAGAGTTTAACAATAGGCCTGGCACTTAAAATATGTGCCAATAAATATTTGTCAAATTCTGAACCACGTTGGTGGCTTGCTTTCCCTCCCTCCCTTCCTCCTCCCTTTTCTTTCTTTTTTTTTCTTTCCCTTCCTTCCTTCTTTTTCTCTTTCTTCCTTCCTGTCTTTCTTCCCTTCTCTTTGCCTTCCCTCCTTCCTTCCTTTCTTTCCCTCCTTTCAAAAGTATACACATGTCATTGCTTGTAATAGACAAAAAACTGGATTCAACCTTCGTGCCGATGGACAATAGCAGGTTAAGTCCTGTACATCCACCTAATGGAATATTCTGTGGCCTTTTCAAAGAGAGCTCTTTATGCTCTGAGGTGGAGGTGCCTCCCAGACATATTGTTAAGTGAAAGAAGTCACATGCTGAAGAGCATGTATGGTGTGTTATCACCTGTGAAAAAAGAAAAAAATGCTTATAAATGCATGAAATACCTCAGGAAAGCTAAAAAAGAAACTAACAAAGGTTGCTTCTGGAGAGGAGAAGTGGAATGTAGGGGTTCGAGGTGAGAAAGAAACCTCACTTTGTGTATTTTATTGATTGTATGTATGTATTTTTCAAATGCAATATCAATAAAAAGAAAGATAAAAGAGCCTGCTTTCCAGTCTGAATGCACTCCCTGGGGTGTGCATTTTCACAGTGGGTTTTGGAATCCTGTGTGCGCCCCCAGCAAAGTGCCTGCCTCAGAATACATAACAGATAGGTCCGTCTTGAGGGAAGCAGGTGGAGTTCTCACCAGTGGTTCCCATCTACCAAAGTCAGGCTGGCAACTTGACCTTCTTTAGGCAGAAACATCACAAATTAGAAGAAAGCATTCTCACAAGAGCACAGTGGACACACTTCATTCACTCTGGACGCATCTGCTGAGCACCGACTGTTTGCCGCACAGTGTTCCAGGCTCTGGGGTATGGCAGAGCAAGACGGATAATAACCCTGCCCTTCCTGCCTTCTAGCTTGCCTTCTAGCTGGAGGAGGAGGGGGCAATCAACAAGTTAAGTAAATAGATGGAGGCCGGGCACGGTGGCTCACGCCTGTAATCCCAGCACTTTGGGAGGCCAAGGCAGGTGGATGTCTTGAGCCCAGGAGTTCAAGACCGGCCTGGGCAACATGGCAAAACCCCATCTCTACAAAAAATACAAAACATAGCTGGGCGTGATGGTGGGCACCTGTAGTCCTAGCCACTCAGGAGGCTGAGGTGGGAGGATCACCTGAGCCTGGGAGGTCCAGGCTGCAGTGAGCCATGATCATGCCACTGCATGCCAGCCTGGGTGACAGAGTGAGACCCTGTCTCAAGTAAATAAATAAATAAGTAGATGGAGTATGTTAAATCTAGGTAAGGGCTCAGGAGGGGAAACAGCAGGAAAAGTGAATACGAAGTGCTGGGGGTGGGGGCAAGGCTGTGACTTCAAGGTGGTCAGCGGAATCCTCACAGAGAAGGTCAAGGCCTGAGGAGGGGAGGCAGTGGCTCTGGAGATATCTGGGGGAGGAGCTGGAAGGACCAGCAAGTGTAGGGACGAAGCTCCTCCACCGTTTGTAGATGGGTCTGGGTGCCCAGGAGCTCCTGGGAACTCCTCTGAGGCCTGGTTTTGTATGAACTTAGTTTCTCTGAACTTGGATCAGTCAGCCCCATGCTCGGAATCAGGTGGAGCCAAATGCAAAAAGGGACCCAGGGCTGCATGGCTCATGCCGAGAATGATGCCCTGCCGGCTCAACCTCCACTGCAGGCTCAGGTTTGGAGGAAATAGGCCCCAGAGACTAAAACAATAATACATGTTCCAAGAATACTTCAAAAATATTCCTCCTCACAGGCTTTCCCAGTGTGGGTTCTCCAGCCCACAAAACGCTGTGCCGAGAGAAAGTGGCTTCTAGGGGGCCTCTTGGAGACTGACCGAGGCTCCAACAAGTCCTGAGTAAGAAAACCTAACTCACTTTGTTCAGTTGGGTGTCTCCCAAACTTCCCTGATGGAAGAAGCTTTTTTTTTAAGTTACTGCTATTAATATTCTTGGACACAAATGTCCATGGACTCCTCTGAGTGACATTGAATTAGGAGGTTTCGGTGGATTCATCCCTGGAGAAATCATTTTATGAATCAAATACAGAAGTCTTTGCTTTCTGTTATTTTCCCTGTAAGAGTCTCTTTCAAGACTGTTACCCAAAAAAGAAAAAAGGAAAAACCAAAAAGAAGGTAAGCCTTAAAAATAACAAGAGCGTGCTATTTCCAGTTCAGTGGAATGCCTGTGTCCACTTACGAACAGCGAGTGGGCACCTCGGCTGTGGACAGACCCTGTGCCCGGTAAGTGGGCAACTGTCCAACTGTGCGACCACATTCAGCGTAAGGATGGCCTATCCCCCACTGCCCCTAAACCTTCCCTATTGCCTAAGAATGGGGGAAGGTGAAAGAGAACTTCCTAGAAATGAAGCCTGGAAATTCTCTTCCTAGGTATATGTCTACCAGAAACCAGTGCTTGTGCTGCATAGAAGCTTCCTAAGACATGTACGAGAATACACATAGGAGCACTGCTCATCATGCCCCCAAACAGGAAACAACCCAAATATCCATCAGCAGGAGGAGATATAAATTATGTGTGTGTGTTCATACAATGGAACACAACACAATGAGAAAAAGTATAAACTACCGCCACACACAGCAGCATGGAGGAACCTCTGGAAGCTTGCTGTGGGATTCCTTTGTTTGAAGGTCAAGGACAGGCAAGACTGCCCCATGATGACAAAGGTCAGAACAATGGCTAGTTTAGGGGGCAGTGCGAGAGACCCTGCTGGAAGCTGAAAATACGCAGAAAACCAGCAAGCTGCCCGCTTATAATTCATGCCCTTTACTCTAAGTTATATGCCAATAAAGAAGTCAACAAGTTGAGAAGTGAAAACATAAAAGTACACTTTGGGAGGCCGAGGCAGCCGGATCACGAAGTCAAGAGATTGAGTCCATCCTGGCCAATAAGGTGAAACCCCGTATCTACTAGAAATACAAAAATTAGCTGGGCGTGGTGGTGTGCGCCTGTAATCCCAGCTACTCAGGAGGCTGAGGCAGGAGAATCGCTTGAACCCGGGAGGCAGAGGTTGCAGTGAGCCAAGATCACGCCACTGCACTCCAGCCTGACGACAGAGCGAGACTCTGTCTCAAAAAAAAAAAAAAAAAAAGATAAAAGTAAAGGCTGGAAAAGGGGAAGAGGTAGCCCAGAGCTGCCTGCTTTTCTCGCCCTATTAGGGATCCCCTAAATGCCATCGAGAGGCAAAGGTCGTTTTTTCTCCATCCTCTGCTACCATCCCCAATCCAAGCCACCATCACCTCCAGCCCCTGCTGGGTCTCCCCACTACACCTGTTGCACCCATCCCCCCAACCTTAGTGTCTACACGGCCATTAGAGAGATCTTTCCAACACACGAATCTGGGGACGCCACTCGCGTGATGGATTCTTCAACTTCTTACCTTTGTCCTCAGGCTAAAAATCTCAATGCCTCAATAGGGTTTACAGGACCTCTCCAGAGCTGACTGCAGCCTCCTCTGTCACCACCCTTCCTCTTTTCCACACCTCACTCTCCCCTATAGAATCCACTTCAGGTCCCTAAATAGGTCACGTGGGATCTCTCTCACCTTTGCATAGATCATTTCCCCTACCAGGAACAGTACTCTTCCCAACACACCAGCCAACTCCTGCAGCTGCCCATCACTTCTCCCAGCTCACCCTTCACCTCTCAGCTGCAACATCTCTTCCTCCGAGAAGCCTTCCCTGCTTCCACCTGGGTGCTCCTCTAGCACCCTCCTCAGAGCATCCATGGTGCTGTTGTGCAATCACCTGTGCAAGTATCTTCATCTCCTGCCATATCTAGCCCCAAGAGGGCAGGGGCTGCCTGTCTTGCCTACCATCAGAGCCCCAGCCACTAGCACTCGGTCCAACACGAGGATATGCCCAACATGCGGTCAATGGATGGGTGTGTAGCGCTCCTTGGAAGGTGGCTATGGCAGGTGTGGCAGACTCCATCTATTGGGGTCTGCCTCTTTTTACATAAAAGCTTTCTCTGAAGCCTCAGAAGGCTGCCCTGCCCATGCCCAGGGCACAATGGAAGGGCTGGGGAATCAACCTCTGTCCCCCACAACCCTCAGCCCATGGCTGATGGGAGTTCGTGTATAAACACCTCAGCTCACTCTCCTTGGGGGTAATTCTGAGGGAGGGCTCCACTGCTTCCCTGAGTTTCCCTTGCAGTTGAGCTCCACTTGACCACAGTGGTAACCTGTGTGGGGGCCACAACCCTGGGCCCCCTAAAAGCTTGCTGAAAAATTTTTTGCTGAAAAATCACTGACATGAGGCAGATTAATTAATAATAGAACAGGGGCCAGGCGCTGTGGCTCATGCCTGTAATCCCAACACTTTGGGAGGGTAAGGTGGTCTGATCACTCGAGGCCAGGAGTTTGAGACCAGCCTGGCCAACATGGCGGAACCCTGTTTCTACAAAAAATACAAAAAAATTAGCCAGGCGTGGTGGCGTGTGCCTGAAATCCCAGCTACTCAGGAGAGGATCACTTGAACCCGGGTGGCAGAGGCTGCAGTGAGCTGAGATCACACCACTGCACTTCAGCCTGGGCAACAGTGTGAGACTCTGTCTCAAAAAAGAAAAAAAAGAAAAAGAAAAAAAAGACAAAATTATTTTACAGATACACACGAGAGCCTTCAGAAGGAGATCCCAGCCCCATGGTGGCTCAGAGGCTTATATACTATCCTGCCAAAGTGGGAGGGGCAATGAGAAATGCTTCTGAAGGGATTTCTAGGGAGAATGAACAAGTCTTAGAGGGAGGGGAAGGAAAAAACAATTGTTCTCATTGGTGGGTCTGGGTCTTAGGCAGATAAAGGGACTTCAGCTTCTTTGAGAGAGACAGTGGGGGCAGGGGAAAGGTCAGAGAGACCTTGAAGCTTCTTCATGTTGTTTTAAATGTTCAATTTCCTTAAAATTTTAAACATTATTTCCAACATTCAGTTGAGCATGTCAAAATGCCATATTTTGGGGTATTGGTTTCTGAGCCCCAACACCTACTTCCTAAGACACCTATTTCCCTTCCTCGTCTCACTCCTATCAATATCTCTGAGGGCCACATCACAAATAAACAACTTGCCTTTGAATGCTTGCCTCAGGGACCACTTCTGGGGCCCTGTATCCGATAGCAGGGCTTCCCTTGCCCATTCCCTATCTGGCCCCAAGCTTCATGTGGGTCTCTTGGCCCAGGCCCCTTGCCGGGACACCCTCTACAGCACACACAGGGCGGAGATCAGATGGACACAGGCCACTGAGGACTTGGGAATGGAAAGGCAGTGCCTGTCAAACTGAGAGGAGCAGCCAGGATGCTGGGGATAAAGGAAAATATGAGGCCACAGGGACGTGGTAAAGAGTCGCTGACACAGAAATTAAAGTTGGAAATGCAACACCTTCAACGGAGGCTCGATGTGTGCCTGGAGGGGGCTGGGCTTCTGCCCTGGGTTCTGTAGGTTGAGTGAAGCTCACTGCCCAAACTTGCGAAATGCAGCAGAAGCCCGTGTACCTCCCTCCATTCCAGCCTCTGAAGGCCCAGGAGTCCTACAAGGTGCCAGTAAAGCATGAAGCAATGCCCTGGAAAGCACTAGGCACCCTGAGAGACTTGATAGAGATGTCTAAGGGATAAGGGACCCTGGGTGGACCTTCCCAGGTTCCCAGCTGGAGGATCCAAGCCTCCGACAGCCAGGGGGCCACAGCCTCTATTTGAAGATGGGACCAAGGTCTGAACTGGCACATCTGGGATCCCAAGTTAAAGATGTCCCTTGGCATCAGAGGTGGATGGGTGGGAATGTACGGCTGATGGGGATGAGAGATGGGCACCAGGAATACCAGCAATGGAGGCTGGGAGTCTGAGAAGCATGAGTCCTTCTAGGATGCCTTCCCCACACCCACAGGCTATGGGATTTGGGCCCAAGCCCTGAATGAGGCCTTAGGAGACCAGAGTGGGATCTGTGCTCACCCCACTGGCTCAGCATCCCTGGTTCAGTCATAGGTCTGCTGACCCTTCAGTTGGGCTTTCCAGACATCTATGAAATAACTACAAGTCACATTGAATTGGCCGGATATTTACACTGCCCTGGACCCCAAAAGAAATCCCTAAGTATGGGGAAGAGGTGGGCAGAGAAACTACTGAGGAGAGTAGAGGGGTGCCTAAGGTCAGATATTTGAAACATCTACTTTGAGGTAGCTCTTTGGGCTGCTGTTAACTGGTCTTAGCTTGCACCGATTTGCATGGCTGTATTAACTCCATAGATACCGGTGCCCTCCAATACACATGTGAGCAGTGGGCATGTGAAATGCAGCTAATCTAATCCAACTGCTATGTGCTGTGAGGGTGGAACACACACTGACTGCAAGACCTGGAAGGAAGAAAAGATACAGTATCTTATTAATAGTTTTATATTAATTGCACATTGAAATGATATTTCAGATAGATTGGGTTACATGAAATATATTATTAAAATTTATCGAGGAAGGAAGGAAGGAAGAAAGACAACAACAAGCTCCGTCTCCCTCTCCCTCTCCCTCTCCCCACGGTCTCCCTCTCCCTCTCTCTCCATGGTCTCCCTCTGATGCCGAGCCCAAGCTGGACTGTACTGCCGCCATCTCGGCTCACTGCAACCTCCTTGCCTGATTCTCCTGCTTCAGCCTGCCGAGTGCCTGGGATTGCAGGCGCGCGCCGCCACGCCTGACTGGTTTTCGTATTTTTTTGGTGGAGACAGGGTTTCGCTGTGTTGGCCGGGCTGGTCTCCAGCTCCTAACCGCGAGTGATCTGCCAGCCTCGGCCTCCCGAGGTGCCGGGATTGCAGACAGAGTCTCGTTCACTCAGTGCTCAATGTTGCCCAGGCTGGAGTGCAGTGGCGTGATCTCGGCTCGCTACAACCTCCACCTCCCAGCCGCCTGCCTTGGCCTCCCAAAGTGCCGAGATTGCAGCCTCTGCCCGGCCGCCACCCCGTCTGGGAAGTGAGGAGCGTCTCTGTCTTGCCGCCCATCGTCTGGGATGTGAGGACCCCTCTGCCCTGCTGCCCAGTCTGGGAAGTGAGGAGCGCCTCTTCCCGGCCGCCATCCCGTCTAGGAAGTGAGGAGCGTCTCTGCCTGGCCGCGACCCCGTCTGGGAGGTGAGGACCGTCTCTGCCCGGCCGCCCCGTCTGAAAAGTGAGGAGCCCCTCCGCCCGGCAGCCGCCCCGTCTGGGAAGTGAGGAGCGTCTCCGTCCGGCAGCCGCCCCGTGCGGGAGGTGGGGGGCGCCTCTGCCCAGCCGCCCCTTCTGGGAAGTGAGGAGCCCCTCTGCCCAGCCGCCACCCCGTGTGGGAGGTGTACCCAACAGCTCATTGAGGACGGGCCATGATGACGATGGCGGTTTTGTTGAATAGAAAAGGGGGAAATGTGGGGAAAAGATAGAGAAATCAGATTGTTGCTGTGTCTGTGTAGAAAGAAGTAGACATGGGAGACTCCATTTTGTTCTGTACTAAGAAAAATTCTTCTGCCTTGGGATGCTGTTAATCTATAACCTTACCCCCAACCCCTTGCTCTCTGAAACTTGTGCTATGTCCACTCAGGGTTAAATGGATTAAGGGCGGTGCAAGATGTGCTTTGTTAAACAGATGCTCTGAAGGCAGCATGCTGGTTAAGAGTCATCACCACTCCCTAATCTCAAGTACCCAGGGACACAAACACTGCGGAAGGCCGCAGGGTCCTCTGCCTAGGAAAACCAGAGACCCTTGTTCACTTGTTTATCTGCTGACCTTCCCTCCACTATTGTCCTATGACCCTGCCAAATCCCCCTCTGCGGGAAACACCCAAGAATGATCAATAAATACTAAAAAAAAACAAAAACAAAAAAAAACCATAAAATAAAATTAACAACATAAATTAAAAAAAAAAAAAAGACAACAACAAAAAAACCTTGAATCAGGATGAAGGGATTTGGGGTGATCTTTTCCATTCTCTAGTTTCAAACTTCACGTAACGTGATATTACTTTTAAATTTTTTATTAAAATTGTTTAAAAACAAAATGAAAAAAAAATAAATAAATAAAAATAAAATTTATCTCATTGTTTTATGTGTTGAATTGTGGTCCCCAAAAAGATATGTTGGAGTGCTAACCGCTAGTACCTCAGAATGCTACCTTATTTGAAAATAGGGTTGTTGCAGATGTAATTCGTTGAGATAAGGTTGATATGGTTTGGTCTGTGTTCCTGCCCAGATATCATGTCTAATTGGAATCCCTGATGTTGGAGGTTGGGCCTGGTGGGAGGTGACTGGATCATGGGGGTGGTTTCTTATGAATGGTTTAGCATCATTCCTTTGCTGCTGTTCTTGTGATAGTGAGTGAATGAGTTATCATGAGATCTGGTTGTTTAAAAGTGTGTAGCACCTCTCCCCTTCTTCTCTTCCCTCTGGCTACATAAGATGTGCCTGCTTCCCCTTCACTTTCTGCTATAATTGTAAGTTTCCTGAGGCCTCCCCAGAAGCAGAAGCCACCATGCTTCCTGTACAGCTTGCAGAACTGTGAGCCAATGAGACATCTTGTCTTTATAAATTACCCAGTCTCAGGTATTTCTTTATAGCAGTGTGAAGATGGACTCATACAAAGGTCATACTGGAATAGGGTGGGCCCTCAATGCAATATGATTGGTGTTCTTATAAAAAAAAGAAGATACAGACACAGCAAAAACATAGCCATGTGGCGATGGAGACAGAGATTGGAGTGATGCAGCTGCCAGTCAAGGAATCCCACGATTGCCAGCAAGCACCGTGTGCGGGGAGAGGCAGGAAAGGCTTCTCCCCTACAGGCATCACACAGGCCACGGCTCTGCAGGAGCCCCGATTTTGTCCTTCTGGTCTCCAGAGCTGCGAGACCATAAATGTCTGTGGTCTTAGGCCACCCACTTTGTGGCATATCGTGACAGCAGCCCTAGGAAAGGAACATACCCTGTTTCATTTTACTTATTTAACGTGGCTACCAGAACCTTGTGAAGTACGCACACCATGATTTCCTCTTTCCAGAGGAGGAAGCCGAGACTCAGAGAGGCCAAATGGTGCGTGTAAAGATGACAAAGACCCCAGGAGACAGATACAAATTCAGACATCCCCCTTCAGACCTCAGTGTTCTTTCTGGAACTGCATCCAACCTATTGGTTTCACTTTTATGTAACAAAGTTGTGAGGTGTTTTCAGTAGCCACGGACCCTCAGGTCACGTAACATGAGCATGCCCAGATGACTTCAGTGTGCAACCTGGGAGAGGGGGGATCCTAAGTGCTGGGATGGAGGATCCAATCAGATCAAGCTCTGGCATCACCCCGTGGCAGGATCCAGTCATATCACGCCTCCTGGCATCACCTCTTTGCAGGATCCAATCAGATCTCACCTCATTACCTTATGCTTATAAAACCTTACCCAGCCCCCAACTCGGGGAGATGCTGCTTTGGGAATTATCCCTGGTGTTCGCCTTACTTCTTACAAGTAATAACATCCCCTTGCTAAGTCCTCCTTGGTTGTAGTCACTGGGTTGATATCTGCCAAGCAACTGAACCTGCTGGTTGTGTGGATGACATTTCCATTGCTCATTTGTTCGTTTAACATGATTTATTGAGCACCTACAGTTTGCCAGGCACTGCTCTCAGCATTTCAGTTAGATAGATAAACCAAACACAGATCCCTGCCTTGTGGAGCTTATGGTACAGCAGGGAAAGACAGACATTAAATAATAAACATAATGAATAAGTACTTTTTTTGGTACGTTAGAAAGGCTCCATGCTATAAGAAAATAAGTAGAACAGGGTAAGGGGGATTGGAAGTGAAGGGTGGTCAGTTTGCAGTATTACATAGGGGGGTCAGGGTCAGCCCCATGAGGAGGTGAAGCTCAGCAAAGATGTGAAGGAGCTGAGGGAGTGACCCCTGCTGAAATCTGGGGGGAAAGTGTCCCAGGCATAGGGAACCGTCAGTGCTAAATGACAGCATGAATATCTAAGACATATCCAAGGGAAAACAAAGCAGCTTTTCAGGTGGGTTTTTGTCACTTGTTGGAATTGCTGCATCTAAGTGCTTTCTTCATGTCTCTTCATGAGACTTGACCAAAGGCCTTTCCCAGAGAAGGGCCCTAGAAGGGTCATGTGGGTTGTCTTGCATGGGCAGATGTCTCAGCAACAGTGGAAACCTCTCATCTGTGGCAGAGATTCTGGGGGCTGCACCAAGCCAGGCTTCCCTGGTGGGTCACCAGCCTAGTGCATGAGGAGGTCAGGACCAGCCCCACTGAATGGCGTTAAACACGCTGCAGCTCTTGAATCTGGAGATGGACTGAGCAGGGTGGGAGCCAGGGAGAGAGGGGACCATTTTTCTTACCTAAATAACCTGGAAGTATAATGATAATTGTGTTATTATCAGTGATTAGGGTGACAATAAGAGAAGATAATTTGTTTAAGGCAGTCCCAACCCCAAGTGTGTCAAGTATGTACGATATGGGGAGTATTTTTAAAAGATATCTGAACAAGAAAAGTCTGAGATCAAGTTAAATGTTCCTTCTCTCACAGAACAGGATGTAAATCTGATAGTCCCTGGGCTTTAGAGAAAATGATACTGCTGGATATTAAATTGTACAGCGTCACTATTTATTATTTATTCCAGTAAGAATGCTATCACCCTTACCAGACACCTACGTTTTATACTCACAAACTTCCCTGACCAGGGCCAAGAACAGAAACTCAACAGTTAGAGACTCTGCCAAGTGCAGGGGACAGGGCAGTATTACTCGGTGGTCCTCACAGGCATAGGCAATGTAGTGGGGCATTGGCAAGATGAACAAATTATGACTCCTGGACTCAATAAATAAGATGATCTCCAATTGTCCTGGCCAGAGTGGGCAAGACCAAGAGGTGGTTTCATTTCTAAGCAGTCAGAGAAGGTAAAAATAGCCTCTCCTCTCACTTCTGCACCACACCTGCATTCTGTTTGCTAGTCATCCCTGTCCTTTATCTGGTCCAGCATTGCTAGACAAGTTGGTGGCTCTGGAGACGACAAGTTTGAGCCATTCTCATGGCTGGATGAAACGAGGTATGGGATGGGAGTCTAGAGTCAGTGTCCTCAACTTCTCACCCCATCCCTAGGGTTCCCCACATGAGTCTAGTTTAATGCAATCCTCATTTTGCACATGGGGAGATAGAGACCCAAAGGGAGCCAGAACCTGCCCATGTCATGCTTAGGTCAAGGCAACCCGACCTCCATGCTCGTGTCCTTCCATTGCCTCACACTCCCTCACTCACCGAGCTCTGTCTCCTTAGGATGGAAAACAACTTTCAGGAAAATAAAACTCATCCAGGCCTCAAAACTTGAGAGAGGCTGGAGAACAGCCTGCTTTATTCACAAGTGACTAGACCAAGGGACTTCAAACTACATTTCAAGGAATCCCCTGAATGCCTTATAGAGGTTTCTGGAGCTGTGACATGGGGCTGTGTTTCCCCACCCAACCTCCACTCCTCCTGGCCTCACCAGATCTCAGTCCTCATCTGTTTTGTGTTTTGAGGTTCCACACTGGATATCATTGCTTTTCCATATCTGAAAAGCAAGTTTGGGATAAATGCATTGTTCAGAATGCATGGAATACTACTCAGCAACAACACGGATGAATCCAAAATGGGTAATGCTAAATGAAAGATGCCAGGCCCGAAAGGCTACATACTATATGATTCCATCGACACAACATTCTAGCAAAGACAAAACTGTGGGGACAGAAAGCAGCTCAGCAGTTGCCAGGATCTGGGAACTAAGGGTTGACCACAAAGGGTTGCAGTGTTCTGTGTTAACAGGGATGTTTCCTATCCTGATAGTGGCAGTGGTTACGTGACTGTCAGCATTTGTCAAAACTCACAGAACTATGCAATTACCGTATGTAAATTACACCTCAGTAAAACTCGACTTTAACAAAAAAGCTTGGCGATCACTTCCTGAACATTTTTTTATTCTAAGATCTTTATGAACAGTTAAAAAAGGAAGCAAAAGCTATCAGCCTTTGGGTGTGTAGGGTGGGAAGGAGATGGCCACCCTCTGGGGCCTCCTGCATGTCAGACAACCAGCTCGTCACTTTAGCTCATCTTTTAAAATTCACACTTTCACACATACGTATAATCCTCACAATAATTCTATGGAGAAGCTGAAAACTGACAGGCTCAGTGTGGCAGATAATATTTTCCAGAACAGCAAGAGATAATATGAAAAATAAATAAAATAACACAATGCAGTGTTTTAAGCCACCAGGTTTTGGGGATGATTTGCTGCACAGCAATAGATAATTGGAACACCAGGTAACCCGCCCGAGGCATCTTCGCAGCCAGATAAATGCGGTTCTCTATCCCAGGTCTGCCCCTTCGCTCTGCTCTGCCCCTTCTCTCTGCTTTGCCCTGTTCCTGAATCAGGCAGTGCAATACAAGCCCCACACACAGCTACAGAAAGAAACTCTAAATGCATCCCTCTGCAGAGCAGTGGGACCCAGCCCCACTCTGGGAGCCAGGTTTCAAGGTAGTGCCTGGCATACAATAGGTGCTCAATAAATCTTTGGGAAATAAAGGAAGCGATTCCAGGCCGTCCTAGGAGCTGACAGGACAATGAAGCCGACACAGTTCCTTGTTCACGGTGGGGTTGGCGGCGGGTAGGGAGGAGATTGCCCTTTAGGGAAGAGACGGCAATAAGCAAGCAATTCAGATGACTTTAGACACTAAGTGCCGTGAATGAACAGGGCTCTGTGATGGGGAGTGACTGGATGTATAGGGAGGCCAAGGAAGTCCTCTTTAGGAGATGATATGGGAATGTGTGAATGAGACCTGAAAGACAGAAAGATGCCAGCTTTGGACAGACGAGAAAGTGTCCTCCTGACAGAGGGGTGGTCAAATGAAAAGCTAAAAGAGGTACAAACACACACGTGCACATGTTCATATTCTAGAGCCGAGCAAATAAAACAAACAATATGAGAACATGGAATAAAGTGTAGGGCATCAGTTAGGAGCTCAACTTTGCCACCAGCTCCCCAAGTGACCTTGGAGTGGCTATTTTCTCTCCCTGGGCTTCTGTGTTTCCTGCTGTAGGATGCAGAGGTTGGGTGGAATCGATGACAAGCTGGACTGGCACACCCCAGCCTGTGACAGCAGACTGTGCGCGTCTCCTCCCAGCTCCATATTCGGTGATGTCACCTTGGTAGGTGGAAACTGGCCATAATGGAAGCAGTTATACCATGGGAAGTGGCAAATGCCACCAATCCAAATTTTTTTTTTTTTTGAGAGTTAGTTGCTAAATATTTACCAGCATACCACTGGACTAGATGAGTGCTTCTCAAACGCTTTTGCTAATGTTTCCTGGTGGCAGAGGACAGCTGATACATAACCCCAGAGGCCTGGGGTCTCAGCATTTTAGAATCTTCCTTAGACTCTCCTACTGTAGGCTAGGGGCAGTGACTCACGCCTGTAATCCCAGTCGAGGCAGGCAGATCACTTGAGATCAGAAGTTCAAGACCAGCCTAGCCAATATGGTGAAATCCCATCTCTACTAAAAATACAAAAATTAACCAGATGTGGTGGCACACGCTTGTAATCTCAGCTACTCAGGAGGCTGAGGCACGAGAATCCCCTGAACCCGGGAGGCAGAGGTTGCAGTAAGCCAGGATTGGATTACTGTACTTTAGCCTGGGCGACAGAGTAAGACTCTGTCTCAAAAAAAAAAAAAAAAAAGAAAAGAAAAAAAGAATCTCCTATTGTAGTTTTTAAAGTTTTTAAATCTACAGTTAATTTATCCTTCTACACCTTAATGTGCCTGCATGTCTTGCTTCCTTATACACTCAAAATATAAAATTTTACTTTCATAACTTCTGAAAGATGTATCTTATTGGTCCTGTGGGTTTTTTACATCATGCTACACACACACACACACACACACACACGCGCGCGCGCACAAGCACAGCCCTTCTTGAATCAGTGTGACCCTGTGTCAAGGCTGGCACTAGTCCTCCAGGTGGAAGGCCTCCTCCTCTCCCATCCCTCTTCTTCCCTTTCCCCTTATCCTTTCAAATCCATGGCCCACCCTGACTTGGAATTGAAATGGGCATTGGGTGAGGAGAAAACCAGAACTTGCAGCTGATTCGTGAGGCCCTGGGACCCAGAACAGAGGTTCTCAGGGTCTGCTCTTGACAGTGGGCCCAGGCCTGGTCAGAGATACTTCCCACCCTCTCGTGACAGAGCAGCTGCTGGCTCCTCGCAGGTGTCTCCACCGGCCCTGCCAGCACCCACAGGCGATTTCCCTGCAGACAGAAAGGAATGAGTTTCCTTTTCCTTCTCCTTGTCTGAAAGCAAGTGGGCTTAGATCATCACACTGGGGCTTAGTTAGGGAGATCCGTTTTCTGCATCCCAGACTCGAGGCTACCACAGACTTCCTGGCTGACCTTGGACAAACAGTTTTGTTTTTTCTATGCCTCTTTTTCCACCATCAGCTGCTGCAAACTTCACTGCTGGGGATGGCTGAGTGGATGTCTGAGACGGCCTCGAAAAGGGGCCAAGAATATTTCCAAACACAGAGCTGGGCCCGTGGCCCATGGTTCCATAGCACCAACAGAAAGGCAGAGACCCAGCCTCTCCAGGATGCCAGACTCTGGGGTGCTAGAACACTCATCGTGGAAAATTCCGGAAAAAAAGTGCAAAGCAACAGCATCCCCCAAAGGAGACTTGAGAGGTCTGTGGAGGGTAGGAGGCAGTGTGTGATGGGAACTGATATGGGGACATGGGGGAAGGGACAATCTGATACTGAAGGGACCCTCTCCTCCCCTTCTCCTCTAAGGTTCTCAAAACACCTCCTGGGTCTGCACTGGCACCTCGGCCCTCTGGGGCTGCCCATCCCCCAAGCACTCCAACAAATTTCCACTGAGGGCCTCTTCACCACTCAATTCAATGGCCATTTTCCAGAACTGATCTCACTGTCTGCTCCATCCTGTATGAAACAACCCCTCACTCTCTTCACTTAAAACCCTCTACTTTCATGGTGTATTTGTATTTGTATTGTATTCTCCTAAAGCAGAGACCTGAGACAAAGCCCTACATGCAACCAGTGTATGTAGCGGGTGGTCCTGGGAAGATGCCAGGAAAGCGAGCCCAGGAAAAAGTGTGTGTTACTGGGCTGGGCACTGCTGTGGGCACCCGGGGCTGGAAGCCTGCTGGGACCTTCCAAGGGGCTGTATAGAATGCACCTTAGAACTGTCCCTCCAAAGGCTGCAGGGCAGGAGCATTGGTCTGGACCCCATGGGTTAAATGTCACTTCCCAGGGATATTAACTCCTGAGGCAGAAAAACAGAGAGCCACAGGGGTGCTTAAGGTGGAAGACATCCGTGTGCGCAGGAACGGTCCATACTACAGCTGCGGCCAGTGTGGCCCTGAGGATGAGACCAGCCTGTCTTCTGGACATGGCCTCCATGACAGCCAGCTCCTGGGCTTCTCCTCCTGCTCCTGGGGCCACACTCTCCACCTGCTTCCAGGGCCTCTTCCCTCCACCCCACCCCACCCCACCGAGGCTCCCTTAACCTGCGATGCTTCTCACTGACACCTGCTTGCCTCCCTCCACACCCAATGTCCTTGGCTTCTCTCCATCACTGCACAGAACACATTGGATTCACATTTCGTTATGTTTTTTCTCCTCTAGGAAACTTCTTGTGGGCAGGAACAAGTATTGTTCTGTGGGCCTGTAGCCTAACACCGTGTCTGACACATAGCAGGAGCTCAGAAAGCTCAGGAAGAGGGAAGAAGCTCCTCTCTCTTCCCCGTAAAATGCCCATCAGTGGTGGCATTAGGAATCCATTTTCATTGCCCTTAAGAGCCCACATGAAGGCTGCCTACTGGTTTCTACTCTCCCCTGATTTCTGAAGAATGCAGGACCCTGGGATGGTGCAAGATGCCACTTTTTCTCTCAGGAATTCCAACCCAGCAGGTGATCTCCATCTGGCTGGGACATTCATTGCCCTCTGAAAGTCCCCCATTCCAGAACTCCACCACATTGCCCCCTCCCCACCCCTCACATTTTCATAAGGCTTGGCAAATGTGCAATTCTGTGTGCCTTCCCAGCAAGTTAGGGCTAGTTAGAACCCTGTACCCCATAAAGCAGTTCTTCCCCATCCCCCCTCTTCCAGCCCCCTGGAACCCACCAATCTGCCTTCTGTCTTTATGGATTTTACCTATTCTGTTTTTTTTTTTTTTTTTTTTTTTTGGTAAATAAAGTTGTATGATAGTGACTGACTTCTTTCACTGAGCATAGTGTTTTCAAGGTTCATCCATGTTAGCAAGTATCAGCACTTCATTTCTTTTTCATGACTGAATAACATTCTAGATATACCACAATTAGTTTATCCAATCATCCACTGAGGGACATTTGGGCTATTTCTACCATTTAGCTATTGTGAATAGTCCTGCTATAAGCACACATGTGGGTGTATTTGTTTGAGCACCAGTTTTCAACTCTTTTGAGTATACAGGCAAGGGTGGAATCACTGGGTCATATGATAATTTTATGTTTAAATTTTTGAGGAACCATCAAACCATTTTCCACTAAGGCTGAACCATGAGGCTGGGTTCCAACCAGCCCTAACCTATACTCCCCCCAGCGATATACAAAGGGTCCAATTTCTCCACACCCTTGCTAACACTTGTTATTTTCCATTTTTTTTAAACATCATTTTAGTGGGTGTGAAGTGCTAACTTACTGTGGTTTTGATTTGGATTTCCCTAATAATGAATAATCTTGAGCATCTTTTCATGTGCTTGCTGGCCATTTGTATATCTTCTCTGGAGAAATGTCTATTTGATTAGTTTACCCAAGTCCTTTTCGAAATCAGGCTGTTTGTCCTTTTGTTATTGAGTTGTAAGAGTTCTTCACATATTCTGGGCCGGGCATGGTGGCTCATGCCTGTAATCCCAGCATTTTGGGAGGCCGAGGCAGGTGGATCATGAGGTCAGGAGATCGACCTGGCTAACATGGTGAAACCTCGTCTCTACTAAAAATACAAAAAAAAAAAATTAGCTGGGCGTGGTGGCAGGCGCCTGTAGTCCCAGCTACTCGGGAGGCTGAGGCAGGAGAATGGCGTGAAGCTGGGAGGCGGAGGTTGCTGTGAGCCAAGATCATGCCACTGCACTCCAGCCTGGGCAACACAGTGAGAGAGACTCTGTCTCAAAGGAAAAAAGAAAAAAAAAAAGAATTCTTTACATATTCTGAATACCAGACTCATCAAAAATATGACTTGCAAATACTCTCTCTCATGTTGTAAGCTGTCTTTTCAATTTCTAGAGAATGTCCTTTGATGCGCAAAAGTGTTTAATTTTGAAGCCCAATTTATCCAGCTTTTCTTTTGTCACACGTGCTTTAGTGTCATATCTAAGAATTTATTGCTAAATCTAAGGTCAAAGATTTCCCATGTTTTCTTCTAAGAGTCTTATGGTTGGTTTATTTTGAGTAAATTTTTTTGCACATGATGTGAGGTAGGGGTGCAGCTTTATTCTTTTGCATGTAGATATACAACTGTCTGAATGTTCTCTTTAACTTCCCACATCAACCCCAGGAGAGAAGCAGTGTTATCAACTCCATTTTACAGATGGGGAAACTGAGGTTTTCCAAGGTAAAAAAGCTGCCCAAAGCCGCAGAGATAGCACATGGTACCACTGAGATTTGGTCTTGGGCCTGAGTAAGAACCAGCATATCTGACCATTGTGACTGATGCTCTGTCACCTGGCCCTGGCCCTTTCGCCCCCTGATTTCAGCCTGGCTGTGGGGGGTCAGTGCGTGTGCACGGCCCACATCCCTTCTCAGCTGTGCTGCAGCATCTCTCTGCTCTCCCATTGTGGGGTTTTTCCTGAAGCCTTGAGAGGCAGCAAAGTCCACACAAAGGCACAATTCTGGGAGGTGACACCCTTCTAGTGGGAGAATTCTACATGCTTCCTCTGTGGATGGAGCTGCCATGCCCACCTCATGAAGCCTCTCAATGAAGCATCCTCCCCCTCTCAGTCTCCCCACACCGCACCCTTGCCTGCTGGGATCCCCACCCAGATAAACCACCTGCATCTAAGTTCTTGCTCAGCTCTGCTTTTGAGGAATCCAACTAAGGTACCCACCCAAATTTGCAGGAAAGGCCTCCGACCCTTGCCAACTCCCCTTCCATCAGAGCACTCCAAGCCTCAGCCTGGCCACTAAACAGGAGGCTTCTGTTTCCCAGCCCAGGCCACAGCTCCTGCTGATCCCATATCTGAGCTGGAGGCCAGAAGGAGTAATTTTACCACAGCTCTGAGCTCCTCTACAAGAAAGGATGCAAATCCTATTTGGGCTGATGTTGCCAAAACCCAAACAAGAATTCTACCTCAAGGCACTTCTTTTTTCAAGACCACATGCACAGCTGGGCTTCCCCACGAAATCATAGCTCTCAGCACTCAAGATTTGTCCACCCGGCACCCTCCCTGGAAAGGCCTCCTGGCAAAAAGGAAGACAGTAGGAAGGAACTGGGAGAAGACAAGCGCCCAGGGACCCGCATAATTTTTGTTCTAGAGTTTCATTGCCTCACAGTTTTTCCAGATATAAATGACCTTTTCTAATAGAGGGGCTTGGACCAAGAGACTACTCTGAGCTCTGCCTCCAGAAATCAGGATAGTCCCACAGCAGCCTTCTGATAGCCTGGAGATGTCAGTGGTCACCCACCATGCTCCCCTCTCTGCCACTGGCACAGGGCACAGGGGCTTCCCTTCTAGTGGGCATGATAGCAAATTCCTGACGTTATCTCCCAGGCCTTAACCCCCAACTCTTAGAAGTGTGCTTAGCCTGCAAGGGGTCAGGGGACAGTGTGATTGTAGGTTATGAACCAGAGAGCCACATTCAGGTTCACGATTTGGGGTTATCCAGATAGTTACTGGACCCATCCTAAGCACTCAGGGTCAGGCTGACATCCTGCATTCCCAAATGGGAAGGCAGGACATGAGGATGCCGACCTCTCAGAAGCTGCAACTTCCTCAATTTTTTTTTTTTTTTTTAGATGGAGTCTCACTCTGTCACCCAAGCTGGAGTGCAATGGTGCAATCTCAGCTCACTGCAACCTCCGCCTCCTGGGTTCAAGTGATTCTCCTGCCTCAGCCTCTTGAGTAGCTGGTATTACAGGCACACGACACCATGCCTGCCTAATTTTTTGTATTTTTAGTAGAGAAGGGGTTTCACCATGTTGGTCGGGCTAGTCTCAAACTCCTGACCTCTTAATCTGCCCGCCTGGACCTCCCAAAGTGCTGGGATTACAGTCATGAGCCACCGCGCCCAGCCCAACTTCCTCAACTTTTAATGGCTTCTCTTAAAAGCCTGTCTTGGGTGTTGTTCTCCTCCCACACCTTTTCTCCCTCCGCACAGATGGCAACACACACAGAGCTGCAGTCCCTTGTCCACACACCAAAACCCCAGGGAGACACATCTCTGCATTCTCATGGCCCACCTGACTCCACGTGGAACATGTTGTCAGGGCTCGATGGATGTCTGTGGAATGGATTGGGTGCGGGCCACACACACAGGCCACTCACCACAGATACAGCAGCTCTCAATCTTGGCTGCACATGAGAATCACTTGAGAAGCTCAAAAAAGCATTGAAGCCGGGTCCTACCAGAGATCCTGATTTGATTGGTCTGGGTTGGGACCCAGGTAATGAGATTTTTAAAAGAATTACCCAGATGATTCCAGGGTGTGTACAACAGGAGTTCTCAAACTTGAGCCGCATCAGGATCCCTTGGGCCCGGCGGGGGGTGGGGGAGGGGCTTTTTAAAACACAAATTGCTGCTCCTGCAACCTCTGCCCAGAGTATCTGATTCAGTAGATCAGCAGTGGGACTCCAGAATCCATGCTTTGGGTTTGTGTGTGTGTGTGTTTTTAAGAGACAATGTCCCACTCTGTTGCCCAGGCTAGATTGCAGTGGCACGGTGACAGCTCACTGTAGCCTCCAGCTCCTGGGCTAAGTGATTCTCCCACCTCAGCTTCTGGAGTAGGTGGAACTACAGGTACGCACCACCATGCCTGGCTAACAGAATCTGCACTTCTAACAAGTGATGCAGGAGAGTTTTGGAAAACAGGGGCAATCTGTTCTTTGGGGAGAGAGCTGGGAGTAGAAATGCAGAGTATGGAGGGATTTGGGAAATGCCAGGGCAGGGTGTGCCTCGGGTGAAGCATGAAGGGCATGGGCAAGGGGGAAGGACATGGGAAAGGAGGTGGGCAGGGTAGGAAACGGCAGACCCTGTGGGATTTGGGAACCCAGGAGGTGAGGCAGGCAGCTGAGCTGAGGTCTCTGCTCTGCTCTCCGAAAGCATTCCTTCCGGGATCCTGAGAACACGAGTCGTACAGGCCCACTACCTTCACCTGTCCCCTGGACAATGACTTAGCCTCCCCTCTGGCCTCCCTGCCCCCTCTCAGGCCCCACCACGTCCATTCTCCCCTCTGCAACCAGAGTGACCATTCAATATGGTCAATCCAGCCATGTCATGTCATCCCTCTGCTTAAATCCTCCTAGGAGTTTCCCAGCCTACCAGTGATGAAGTTCAAATTCTATGTCCTGTTTACCCCACCATTCTGCAGGAGCCATGAGGCTTCCAAATTCAGGGAGTGTAAGGACACCACATATGCACAGAGGCTGTGCCACAGGCTGCACCTGCCAGTGACCGAACATGGTGGAGATACTGAGGCAGGCTCACTTCTGAGAGACACGGGGCTTCCCGAAAGCCCTGCTGAGTCTTCCTTAGACTGCACACTTCTGTGTCTGGGACATTTCCACCCAACCTCCCCTCCCTCAGAGTCAGCCTTACCTAAACCCTCAGAAATTTCATCCAGGCTTCTCCGTAATTAAGGGAGGAGCTGGACTCGTAGCCTGCAATCCTAGGTAAGGGGCACAGAGGAAGCACCAGCCACTGAAGTTATACTTTCCTGCACATGGGGTCCCCCACTGTCTCAGGGCAGCTTCCTAAGACTCCATGCAGATGTTTATGAAGGAAGCACCCTCAAGGGAAACCAGTTTGGGCAGGAGAGAAGCAGGACAAGGAAAGGGAAGGGGTTAAAGAGGCATCTGTTTCAGCTGCGGTCTGCATGGGACCGGCTCCTCTGTGGTGCCCTGGAGATCTCACGTGTATCCAAATAGGCCACGGAGGCGAAGGCTTGACCCACAGCCAATCTGAATGTGGTGGGTGAAATAACGCCCCGCACCCCTACATCTGTGTCTTAATCCATGGAATCTGTGAATATGTTACCTTATATGCAAAAAGGATGTTGAGTAAATTAAAGATGTTGAGATGGGGAGATTTTCCTGGATTTCCCAGATGGGCCCAATGTAATCACAAGGGGCAGTGAGAGGGAGATGTGAGGACAGAAGCAAAGGTTGGAGGGATGTGCTTGCTGGGGCCACTAGCCAAGGAATGCAGGTGCCCTCTAGAAACTGGAAAAGGCAAGAAAAAGGATTCTCCCCTAGAGCCTCCAGAAGGAACCAGCCTTGCTGACACCCTGATTTTAGCCCAGGGAAGCCCATTTTGGACTTCTGACCTCCAGTACTGTAAGATAACTTTGTGTGAAGCCACTAATCTGTGATGGTTTGTTGGAGCAGCAACAGGAATTGAACACGCTGAGTGCTGGCGGAATGCTTCGTGGTCCTCCTGGATCAGAAGTGGGTGAGAGGCAGAGGCTGCAGAGTTCCAGGCCATCTCCCCATCGCCTCCCAGCCCCTAGAGAGCCGCCGTGGGTCTGTTTGTCATCCCTTCTGGGTTCTGCTGAGTGATGGGGCTCCCCATCCTGCCTCTGCTCAGCCTCAGTCTAGAATTGGCATCTCAGCCAAGGGGCATCCCCCAGCTCACATGACAGTCACTCGGCCTCTCTTGTTTGGGTGCCCTCCTTTCTGATATGCCGAATGAGGACCTGGGGCACTGGTACCTTTGGCTTACTCTTCATTGTCTGTGTAAGTAATAAACAGTCTGAATCTATTATAAAAGCCCCTGAATCAGGGCTTGGAGTTGCCCTGAATTGTATGCACCTGAGCTTGACAAAGTCCCAGTGCCTAATCCTGCAGGGAACCCTGGAGTGGGGGTGACAGCAAAGGAGCTGGGCCTTTGTCCACATGACCACCAGTTGTGGCCATGGGCTGCCCGGGAGCCCCAGTGCCCAAGGGCAGGTCCCTGAAGGTATCAGGGGTGAGCCATTCACAGCAAAGCACACAGACCTTGGAAAAGGACCTCAGTGGGCCTGGAAGTGGGAGAAGAGATGAGGGTGTACAGTTCATTACATTCACCAATAATTCATATAAGACGCTGCAGGATTCATTGCTGAGGCACTGGATTTTGACCCCACAGAGAGAAAATGGATATGGTAGCCCAGCATACATAGCTGTAGGGACATTTCCTAGACCCCAGCTTCTAGGGCAGCCATCAAGGGTGCAATTTAACATTCCTGCCAATGTCCAGGCAGGCAGCAGTGGTTGTCCACAGACCAGGAAAAGGCAATTGTTTTCTTCATGAAAAAAGGCCCCAAGCCAGCACTTTTCATGCCAAACTACTGGCGGAAGCCAGCGGGCAGCCAGCCATGCCAGGGTTCTTGGAGCACAGAACCAAACAAGGTGGCTCAGCCCCCAACTGGATGCCAGGATAGGTTGGCTGGAGGAGGTCTGTAAGTACCACCGTGGCCATTCAGTGACAGCACAAAAGGATGCCTTGGTCCTCTCCTCTGGGTGCCCTTTGACCTTTTCTTTGAGAACCCCGGCTCCCCACCCATCTGCCTCCCCCTACCTCTATCTCTGCCACAATGTCTTCATTCCTTGTATTTTCCTATTGGCTTTTCTCCTGCTCTTCTCCTGACTTAGGGATGCAGAAGGCCCACAGGCACTTGGAGCATTGCTCAGCCACACAGGCCCCTCAGAGACAAAGAGGAATTTCCCTCATGACCTGGAGGACAAGATGGAGGGAAGGAGGGAAATTTAATCACAAGGTGGCAAAACTTTTTCTATTAAGGACCTGAAAGAAAATATTTTAGACTTTACAGGCCATGTGGTCTCTATTACAACAACCCAATTCCACCATTGTAGCATGAAAGCAGCCATAGACAATGCATAAATGAATGGGCCTTTGAATGGCAGTGTTCTAATAAAACTTTATTTACACAAACAGGCAGAGGGCCAGCTTTGACCTTTGGGTGTAGTTTGCAGACCCCTGGTTTACATGTTCCCAGAATCCAACAAGTTAGAATTAAAGGAACTTTAGAGATCATCCAGGCCAGGGAGGGCAGACAGGTTTCAAACCCATCTGCCAACTCTGAGTGCTCAGTGATGATTCCCTGATTTGCTGTGTTGAGGATTCTGAGGCCAACATCTAGCTTGGAGGGAAAGTGCCATAATAGTACCCTATGCCGTGGGCAGGGAGAGAGGAGTGGCAGCACAAGTGCCCCAGATTAGCTGCTTGATTAACCAAACACTTTCATTTCACATACAAACAGCTGGATCCCAGAGAGGTTAAGCGATTTGCCCAAGGCCACAGAACTGGCCAGAGAGTTGCTTGTCAACCGGCTTCTTCATGTTACTCTGCAGCAAAATGGAAAGCTGCATTTATTCCATTGCCTCATCACCACACATCTAAGCCAAATAATTTTCATGGTCCCTGGAGAGCAAAGGGTCAGAAGCCAGGGCCCCAGCCAGTCCTCGATTTGTGAGAATTGATGTTTTGGGGGCTTTCACAACTATAAAAAAAAGTCGCATTTGTGATGTCTGAAAAATTAGGAGACTGGCTTCAGAGAGTACTGCCTGACAGATCCTGGTCATGGTCGGGCATGAAGTAGCCCCAGCATTAAGCTGTAGCTTCCCTTTTTCAGCAAGAAATGCTTTGCAAGCACCATGGTCACTATCTCATGAGCCCCATAAGGCTAATGCCAATCAAGCATCAAGCTCTGGTATTTCTCACCCATGTGTCTATTTCCTAAGATTCTCAACAGCTGTGACTATCAGATAATAACTGCCATGGTCTTTATTAATCTTGATTAATAAGCAACTGTAGTAACAACTCTGAAAACAGGATGCAGGTTGAGGTTTTGGAAGAAACTTTTAAAACCCTGGACTCTGTAAACTAGGTCATTTTTAAAAATCAGACTTTCTACTGTTAGAGTATGTCTGGTAGCAGAGCTTTGAAATTGCTTGGGCGTCAGTTACTTGGCTCTTAAATGGAGTAATGCTTACCTCATGGGCTGTTGCAACATTCAGTTAAATAACAGATGACAGCCAAAGCCCACATGCCCAGGTCCACTCTGGAGGTCACTTACAGCTGCTGTTGGCAGTCCAGGCCATGCCAAGGGCTCTTTCCAGCACCTGCATCTATCTCTTCGGGTGTTCTCTATGCCCCTGCCCCAGTACCTCCCACCCCAGAGTGTTCAGCTCACACTCAACACAGGCTAGAGAAACCAGGGCAAGACTGCTCCTAGGGGCAGCCTCCAAGCAAGGAGGACTGCTAGGAGGTAGTGAAAAGGACTCTTGTGTCCTTGCCTTTCTGTGTACAGTTTTGAGGGATAGTTTGGTTTGATAAAACTTTATACAGTGTCTTAGAAGGCCCACAGGGATACCTGAGCCCTATTTCCTTCTCTCACTAATACACCCCCTTCTTGATTTTCTTTCCTTCCCTGCCTCACTTCTTCCCTCCCAGTGCATCCTGGGGTCATCTCTCAAATAAATGGCCTAAGCTCAAGTCTTTGTGTCAGGGGCATCCTGAGATACATTTAATTGTAATTTTTATTTTTTAGAGATGGGGCCTCACTATGTTGCCCTGTCTGGTCTTGAACTCCTAGCCTCCAGTAATCTTCTTGCGTCAGCCTCTCAAGTTGCTGGGATCACAGGCATGTACCACTGCATCTAAATCAGAGATACATTTGGATTTAGGAAAGGGAGTGGCTGGAAAGGAAGCAAGAACATGCATGTGTCCCCCATCCCAACACCATGGAAGAGGATGAGAGGGTTAAAGCTGCCGGCAGCTACGGAGCATCCGATAATGCAATACAAGAACTATCCCTGTCAATGAGCAGGAAGCTGACAGGGCTAATAGCAGCCAAGCAACTTTCTTTCCAGGCTGCTTTTCTATTCCTCTTCTGCTGGTTCCTCTGGGGAGGTCCCATTCATGACACAGTTCTGGTGGGTTTGAAAATCACGACACCCAACTCCACCACATCAAACACTCTGAGGTTGATATGGGAGAGACCGTAAATGAAGCTTGTACACCTGGGTTATTCACTGGCAGGGTGGGGCTGCAAATGCCTGGCATTTTGTCTGCCACGTGAACAGAGCTTGCATGCAGAATGAAGGTAAATAGAGGTAAGATGAGATGAGAGAGAGAGCCCATATCATCAGAGCCACTGAATCCAGCTATGACTTTGGAATCTGGTGGTTACTAGAGTCAACACAAACACATTCCCTTTATGTTTATTTGAGTTGCATTTCTGTCACTTGCAACCAAAAGGGTCCTGACCAAAAAAAGACATTTCAGTTGTGCCTCCCTGGAATTATTTCTTTTCCTGAAAAAGCCACGCTGTTCGGCATAACTGCTTTCCTCCTGCACCACAAGGGATAAGAATTTAATCAATTACTTAACATGGAGAGATTGAAGTTTTACCCATCCAGGTTTCCATTCAGGGACCCATCCATCTGTTTCTTATTTAAAGGTCTTATCAAGCGTGTGTTTTAATTTGTGTTCCCTCAAAACAAACCCTGGTGCAAGGATTCAGTTATGAGAGTAGTGAGCTGCTCAGGCAGACTCTGCCTGGGACCTTCTCATCCACTCATCCTGTAGAGCTGTTCCAGATGAAATTTACTTAACTACAAAGAACAGGACGCCCAAGTAACACTGGCTGAAAAAAAATGAAAACACAATTCTTTCATAAAATAAGAAGGCTGTGGGAGGAGATTTTGCAGTAGCAGCCCAATGACAAGGGAAAGGACCCTGGGTTTTTCTGTTATTTCTCCACTGCCAACCTCAGTGTGTTGGTTTGTCAGCCTCTTGCTTATCACCTTCTGGTCACAAGATGGCTGCTGCAGCCCCCAACATCACAACCACATACAAGGTCAGGAAGCATAGTGGGGCAGGGGCATTACAGCAGACATTATTGGAGCTCATCGCCTATCCCTCCATTTTATTATTTCAGTAGGCTCCAGTCAATTCCAAACTGCCTTAACCTGAGGGCTTTTCCCTAAAACCTCAGAAAACTGCTCTGCCCATGGACATCAGGTCAGAAGTGCCCCCCAAAATTCATATTCCTCCAGAGAAAGTCCTAACCAATGATTGAGGGGGAGTAGCTATAAAAGTACCTTAGTTCCCTCATTGCTCCAAGGGATAACCACAAGGCATGTGACTTACACCTTTTCCAAAAATGTCCCTGCATGATTAAGCTTAGTTCTCCACAGTAAAACCTGCTCTATAATGCACGCTTTGTTAAATATTTTTCCTTCCCTGTCTCACTTCCCTACTCCCTTGCTAGTGTTTTCCTGGGATTATGTTCCCAGAAAACTACTTACCCTATAATTCTTGTTTCAGGGAATGCTTCGGTGAGGGTTTGGGGGTGGGGACAAAGTAAGACAGCTCTTCTTTTTATCAAGGAGGGAAAATCTTGCCAGAAATTCCCCAGTAGACTTCCTCTTGACCATACCTGAGTTACCTGCCCCACCCCTGCCTCCAGCTGCCCTGGAGGAGTTGAAACAGTGAGCATCTGCAAAGTGCAGCAGGGCAGTTACATCTTTGGAAGTTGAGCTCACTGCCCACTCCCCCACCCCCAAATCAGGGTTTAGTCAGCAAAGTGAGTGAAATGGGCAATGACTGTTGAGTGGGCAACTTATGGAATGCCAGGTTCTGTTCAATCATTTTAAATCAGTGACTGAGATAATAAGGTAAAGGTCATTCTTGGCAAGTATGCAGTAGACAGGAAACCGTGGAGAGTAAGTAGCAAGTGTGCTGAGCAACAGAATGAGGAGCCTCAATAAACTCTGCAGAGCAGTGGACTGAAGGATCCTGCTGCAGGCCGGTGGGAGTTAGTGTAACAGCCTGGAGCTAGGGCCCAAAAGGAAAACAAAAACAACAACACAAGCATAAGATGGACAAGCGAAGGCTTATCAAGAACACACTGATGGGCTGGGCGCAGTGGCTAGCGCCTGTAATCCCAGCACTTCAGAAAGCCAAGGCAGGCAGATTGCTTGAGGTCAAGAGTCTGAGACCAGCCTGGCCAACATGGTGAAACCCCATCTCTACTGAAAATACAAAAATTAGCCAAGCATGGTGGCAGGCACCTGTAATCCCAACTACTCATGACCCAAGATGGCGCCACTGCACTCCAACTTGGGCAAAAGAGCAAAACTCCTTCTCAAAACAAAACAAAACAACAACAACAAAAAACACTGACAAAGACATATGGGGTAGCTTCAAGTGTCAGCAATGTGGTGTGCCTGCTGACTTCCAGCAGCATCACAGGTGATGTGTACTAAATATCTGTGCCCCTCCAAATTCATATGTTGATTCCTAATCTCCAATGCAATGATACTTGGACGTAAGGCCTTTGGGAGGTCATTTGGGTTAGATTAGGTCATACCATTATAAAAAGAGGAGGAGACAAGAGATCTCTCTCTCCACCATGTGAGGACACAGCAAGAAGGTGGTCCCTCTGTAAACTAAGGGAGCCCTCAACCAAGTTGACTGGCAGCTTGATCTTGGACTTCCCATCCTCCAGAACCATGAAAAATAAATGTCTGTGGTTTAAGCCACCCAGTCCATGGCACAGAGTCCCAAATGAACTAAGACAATAGGTTAATCCCATGAAGGCTAGTGTGAAGGTGGAGGAAGGTGAAAGTTCCCTTGTCCTTATCCTGGATTGATCATGGCTGGGGCCCATCCAACTGTGGATGTCACTTGAAACAAGCAGTAGCCAAATGAAGTGGGCTCAGAAGAAAGTAGCTGGGATGGAGGCAGATCTGGAAGCCACAAGATAAGAGAAGAGGCATTTGATGCAGGGCTGAGGAAATGTGACATGATAAAGATAAAACTGGAAGAGAACAGTATAGCCATGCTCAAATATTTGCTGTTATCTGGAAGATACATAAATCTTTATACAACTCTAGAAATTCCCTAATAGTATGTCAATCAGTGTCCAGTTAGGGAAATAGGAACCTCTTAGATATCTCAAATAGAAGGAATTGAATGTAGGGAACTGTTTACAAAAGTATTGAGAGAGTTGGAAAGGTAAGGATACCCAAAGATTAGTAACTGTAGGAAGTCACAGTCAACCTTGGCACTAGAAGAGCAACAGGAAAAATAGAATACCCAGAGCCATCAGTCACTAGACTGCTGGAGCTGCCAGAGCAGGAACCCAGGGACTTGTATTCATTGCTGCTTCTGCTGGAGGGTCAGTCTGATACAGAGAGAACAAGATTAGCTTCCCCTTCTTCTGCCTTCCAGTATCTCTCCAGTGCCTCCCATTGACTAAGCCTAAGCAGAAGCCAGCGGGCAAGATAACCTGGGAAATGCAGGGTTCCAGCCCCTTTGGCAGAGAGCAGAGCACTGAGGACAGGAATGGAGCCAAAAGCCAATGAGTGAGTGGTTCATGGTACAGGGTGGCAGGTGTAGAGAGAGTATGTGGATGAATGTAAGGAAGGCCTATCAAACCACCAGACTGGACAAAGACGAGAGAGAGGAAACAGTTCCCCTCTTCTGAGCCATTTCAGCAGAAGTGTAACAGGGAAGTTCCAACGTATGATAGGTCACTAGACAAGATATTTTATAAGGTTCATTTAAC
This sequence comes from Homo sapiens, assembly GCF_000001405.40. Classification (NCBI taxonomy): domain Eukaryota; kingdom Metazoa; phylum Chordata; class Mammalia; order Primates; family Hominidae; genus Homo; species Homo sapiens. The sequence goes on from NW_003315966.2 coordinate 29,757, forward strand.
GCCTGAGAGCCTTAGATGCCAATTATGTACTGTCCACATTCACATTTCTGCAACTGTCTTTCGTTGCATGGTTTTATGCATTTCACAGGGGTGTTGATTATGTGGTCCCCATTCGATATGAATCTCCCTGGGAACTGGGCTCACAGCTAACTTCTCATCCTCTTGCCTCCCAACCACTTTGTGCAGCCTTCGTTAATGTTATCACCAGGCTGGTGGGCTTCTCTGCGTGGGAAATTATTTACAGTTCCACTCTGCTCTTGAAACGTGCCTAGAGTTTTAAAGGAAAGGGCCCTTCCAGAAAATGGACAGACACCGAAAATAAACTACCCAGAAAAATAAAACCTCTTTCCCCAGCACAAAGGAAATTTAAGAGCTCATTAGCCTTAGGAATAAATGGTATTTTCTAATGTGTGAAACCACTAGCAGGCAGAATATGAATATTCATAAGCATGCTCCTGGAATGAAGGTATTTGAAACCTTCCTTTAGGTACTGCCCATTTGGGGGAAAGGTATGTTAACTATTCGTAGTCTGATTGATTCAAAATGCTCTTAAAATGGGATTTCTGGCATTTTTGTTGGAACTTGTGTTCTGACACAAAATTCCTGGTGAAAGCAATGGGAAAAACTGGCCAAACTACCAACTACAGATCAAAAGCCTGGGATTAAGGAGATATCCAGGCAGTTTTATGAACTCTACTATCCCCACTCACATTTAATAACTCTTTCCACCTTGGCTTCCACGTTGTTCTATTCCCTGACCACAGGAGCTACCTCGATGCAGAAAGTCCCATGGGACCAAACCAGCAAGGGGACGGGGTGGAGCAGAGCATACTGAATGTCTGATTAAGAACCTCCTGGGTCTCATGGACTAAGCCTTGAGTTCTTTCCCTTCCTGGGTCTGGGTCTTTTTTGCGGGGGGCAGGGGAGATGGTGGTATTGGAGTAAGCCAATGGATCTAAACCTTGACTGCACATTGGAATCACCTTTGGAGCTTTGAAATATCATAATAACCAGGCCACACTCCAGATCGTCAATCACCGCAGTCTCTGGGGATGCACCTGGCCTTTGTTTTATCACTCAGGTGAAATCACTCAGGGGATTTCAATGTTCAGCCAATGTAGATGTGGTAGCCAGTCTCTAAGATGTTGCCATCAGTTCCCACCCTTCCCAACAGGCATGCTATTCCCCCATAAAGAAAGGGAGTGTGTTTTCTACCTTCTTGAATCTGGGCAGAAGTGACACGTGCCAGTTCTAGTCTAGCTTATAGGAGAAATGACAGTTTCTGTTCTTTTCCTTTTGAAAGATTTGCTCTTGGAACATTCCTGCTCAGACCCCAGCTGTTATGCAATGAGGCCAAAGCCATGTGCAGAGACCACATGAAGAGGGGTTGAGTGTATAGCTCAGCTACTCTCCCAGCATCAACTGCTGACCATGTTGGGAGACCCTCCCTGGAGGTCCAGCCCAGTTGAGCCTTCAGATGACTGCAACCCCCATTGACATCCGACAGTAAATATATGAGAGACTCTAAGTGAAAACTGCCCTACTGAGCCCAGTCAACCAGAAAGATGACAAATTATTGTTTTAAGCCAGTAGGCTTTGGGGTTAGTGTCTATTATACAGCATAGTCAACTGGAGCGGTTGGAAACCACTGGATCAAGACTAACCATCCACAAGTAAACATTCTCCTAAGGTACTTACTGTCCATAAGGAATTAGGATACCATCTGCCTCAACAGGGCCAACTCCATCCACATACTTAGTCTTGCCCCACTCCTACCCTCCAGCTATGCTCTGTGAGAGCACAACAGCCTGCTTGGTGTGGACAGCAGTGGGTCAAAGGGCGCTTCTAGTCCAAACGGGTATTTATTATTAATTTTTTAATATCATGTTAAAATTCATAGAGTTCTTGGTCCTATTTGGTTATTTTGATAACACTGGAAGGAAAGATGATCAATAGTACATTTTGCCGAAAAGGAACCTGAAGCCTCAGAGAGATTATATGACTTTGCCTTGTTGATGTAGCCAGTAATAGAGAAATAGGAAAATAAGTCCATGGGTCTTGAGTTTAATACAGGGTTCTTTCTGCTAAATTCTGTCCCTCTGAGGGAACACACACACACACACACACACACACACACACACACACACACACTTAGAGGGTGCAGTAGAAACTGCTGGTTGCCCCTTAATATTTATTTTCCCTTTGTGGCTTGAAAACAGAATGTTGACTTTACTCAGGGAAGCAATGTATCTAGCTAAAACCAAATTTCCCAATCTCTCTTGCAGCTAGTGTGGTCATGTGACTAGTGAGATGTAAGCCTTAATGTTTTATGGAGTTTCCAGGAAGCCTGCTTTAGAGAAACCTGTCTCAATTGAGAAAAATATCCCTTTTGCCTTACCTCCTTCTTCTAGCCTATATCTCATCGAATGGCTGGAGCTCTAGCAGCTATATTGGACCATGAGGTGAGTCTGAGGGTAGAAGCTGCAAGCTGCAGACAACGGAGCAGAAAGACATAACAAGCTTGGGTTCTGCCCTGGATTGCCTATCTCCAAACTTCCTAACAAATTAGAGAATAAATACTTGGGGATTTAAGCCACTATTTTTCAGGTCTCTATTTTAGCCAACTACAATTTTAAATTCATAAAGTGTACATAATTGATTATTCTGAAATTCCCATGGAAATTCTATTTGATGGTACAACTAACCCTTAGGACACCAGAAACCTATTTTCCATGACACAGCTTTAAACTTAGGCCTTGATTCCAGCTGCCATGCCTACCTCACAGGAGGAAATGGTCCATCTGGCACGTAGTGGATGTGCATCCAATATTTATTGGAGGGAAAAAGACTTTCATTGTACCTAATTCTGATAACCACATCTCTGTTCCCTGGCATCGTTTTAAAGACTTGAGAAACACATCACAACTGTGACCTCGGTTGGCCTAGGGATAAGAGGAAACCCAGACAGATATTCCAGCCAGCAGCCCCAGCCCTCAGCCCCTAGTGACCTTATCTCCTCTTTCCTCTGGTGGCCTTGATTTACCTCTGCCCTGGATGTGATGCAAGATGAGATTTTAAAGATGCTTGTGTGATCTTCCCTCCCATGATTTTCCACCAGATAGTTACTGCCCTTTGGCTTAGGCTCCAGAATGAGGTCATGTGGAACATCCTGAACCCAATCAGAAGTCTGGCCCAGACAAGCCCATTCAAGATCAGCCAACGGCAGCCAGCCTTCAGTCTCATGGATGTGAAATAAAATCTTTGTTGATGTAAACCACTGAGACTGTGGGCTTATTGGTTATGCAGCATTATTACAGAAGTAACTGACAGAACACCATCCACTGAGAGAACCACACTAGAAACTGGATGTCATCCTTTCCTCATCATGACTTTCCCTCATGCCTCACTTCCAACCCCCAAATCCTAAATATCCCTCAAAGCCGCTCCCTCCTCTCCAGCCCGAGTTTAGGCCTGCCTCATCTCTCTGGATTAGAATGGCCTTCCTGACTTTAGATTGGTACCCCCCAGTTCTACTTTCCCCACTGTAGCCAGGATGAGTTTTCTAAAGTATAAATCTGCTCCTGAGCCTCCCTTACTTAAGACCATGTTGTGGGTTTCAGTGAGGGGAGTGTCCATGGGTCTTAAGAAGGGGCATGTCCACGGCTTCCATGGGCAGATGCCACTGTCTACCCTGAACATGACTTAGTTCCAGCATTCCCTGCACTGAGTTGATCACCTTTTCCCCCTTACATAACACACAGCCAGGATGGGCTCTTGCTGGGTGCTACCTGACCAAGTGCCCTGTTCTTACCCCTAGGCTGCCCCTTAGGGCACTATTTAAATAGCCTATGGTTCTATTGGTGGGAATTAAATTAGGACAGTCATTACAGAAAACAGTATGAAGATTGCTTAAAAAACTGAAAGATAGGCCGGGCGCGGTGGCTCACGCCTGTAATCCCAGCACTTTGGGATGCCGAGGCGGGTGGATGATGAGGTCAGCAGATCAAGACCATCCTGGCTAACATGGTGAAACCCCGTCTCTACTAAAAAATACAAAAAAAAAAAAATTAGCCGGGCTTGGTGGCGGGTGTCCGTAGTCCCAGCTACTCGGGAGGCTGAGGCAGGAGAACGGCGTGAACCTGGGAGGTGGAGCTTGCAGTGAGCTGAGTTCGTGCCACTGAACTCCAGCCTGGGCGAAAGACAGAGACTCTGTCTCAAAAAAAAAAAAAAAAACTGAAAGATAGAATTACCATATCCAGCAGTCCCACCACTGAGCATATAGCCAAAGGAAATGAAGTCAGTGTGTCTGAGATGTCTGCGCTCCCATGCTCATTGAGCACTATTCCCAATATATGGAACCAACCTGTGTCTATCGACAGAGGAAGAGATAAAGAAAAGGTGGTTATATGCACAATGGAGCACTATTATCCCTTTAAAAAGAATAAAATCCTGTCATTTGTGACAACACGGGTGAACCTGGAAGACACTGTGCTTAGTGAAATAAGCCAGGCACAGGGAGACATATAGCACAAGATTTCACTCATCTGAGGATCTAAAAAGGTTGAATTTATAATAATAGAGCATGGAATGGTGGTTACCAGGAGCTGGGGGCAAGCGGGGAGGGCGTTGACCAAATAATATGAATTTCTAGTTAGACTGAAGGAATAAGTTTTTTTTTTTTTTTTTTTTTTTTTTTTTGAGGCAGAGTCTTGCTCTGTGGCCCAGGCTGGAGGGCAGTGGTGCGATCTCGGCTTACGGCAAGCTCCGCCTCCGGGGCTCACGCATTCTCCGGCCTCAGGCTCCTGAGTAGCTGGGACTACAAGCGCCCGCCACCATGCCTGGCTAATTTTTTGTATTTTTAGTAGAGACGGGGTTTCACCGTGTTAGCCAGGATGGTCTCGATCTCCTGACCTTGTGATCCACCCGCCGCGGCCTCCCAAAGTGCTGGGATTACAGGCGTGAGCCACCGTGCCCGGCCAGGAATAAGTTTTTAAGAGCTATTGCACAGCATGATGACCACAGTTAATAATAAAGCATTGTGTATTTCAAAATTGCTAAAATAATAGATTTTAAATGTTTTCACTACAAAAAAAATGGTAAATATGTGAGGTGATAGATATGTTAATTAGCTTGATATAATCATTCCACAATGTATACACATATCAAAACATCACATCATAACTCATAAATATATACAATTATTGTTTTTCAATTAAAGAAAAATTTTAAAAACAACACATGGCCAGGTGCAGTGGCTCACACCTGTAATCCTAGCACCATGGGAGGCCGAAGCAGGGAGACTACTCGAGGCCAGGAGTTCTAAACCTGCCTGGGCAACATAGCGAGACCCCATCTCAACAACAAAAAAATTTTAAATTAGCTGGGTGTGGTGAGGGGTGCCTGTTGTCCCAGCTACTTGAGAGGCTGAAGCAGGAGGACTGCTTGAGCCCAGGAAGTTGAGGCCGCAGTGAGCTAAGATTGCCACTGCACTCCAGCCTGAGCGACAGAGCAAGACCCTGTCTCAAACAAACAAACAAATAGCACATATGTACACATAAAATTGCCTGCGGCTTGTCTGGCTCTCTCATAAACTGTGAGCTCTCTGAGGACAGGACCGGAACACATTTTCCCTGAATAAAGTGAGCACATTTCCAGCCCCGAAGCCTGAGCCGCTGTGTCCCACATCCCATTCAGGAAGAGGGGGTTGTCCTAGAAGTAGCAGATCTGACTCAAAAACTCAAGGCAGGAGGGGTAACAATGCCAGAGAGAGAAGTAGCAGGGTAAGGAGGAGAAAGAAGGAAGAGGGAACGGAGCGAGGAGGAAAGGAATGAGAAATATAAAAATGGAGGAGTGAGGAAGGAATTCAGGAAAGACAAGGAATCCGCACAGGCAGAGACGCGGCTTTATCAGCTCTCTCCCTTCCAGCTCACTCCTCTCCACTCCCCCACAGAACTGCTCAGGCCATGTGTGCATTTGGCTCAGGACTCCAGTGCTGGTGCCAGAAGCATAAACCAGAGGGTGGGAGCTGCGTGGGGCCCAGACGAGGCGAGCCCTGTGGCCGGGCCCTCAGGACGTGGGGCCAGGCTGCTCCTCCCAGCCGCCCCGGGGGGGCAGGCCAAGAATTCTAGAAACCCTCTGCTGGGGAGAGCCCGAGGAGGCCCTGGCTGGGGTGACATCGGGAAAGCCCAGGGGGCCTGCTGCAGGCTGCGAGGAAGAAGGAGGCCGAGGTCATGGTGCAGAGGGCTGAGGAGGAAGTGAACCCCAGCTACAGGGTGCCCGGAAAGGGCTGGACCCACGGGGAATGTTGTGGCGGGGACCACATTTGGAGCAGCTCGGGACACAAGGGGTTTTGTCCCAAAGGAGACTCTGAACAGAGCCGCGGGCCCCGTCCTGGGAAAGCCGCTTGAGGGCACACCTGGCTGCTGCGTCCCAGAACTGCTGACGTCACAGTCACCTGGGGCGGGGAGGGGACTGGCGAGCTGTACTGTTTTTTTAAGTTTCCAATGATTATAAAAAGCAGCAAATGTGGGAACCATTGAACTGGATCAGGGTCAGCAAAACTTTTCTGTAAAGAGCCAGATGGTAAATATTTCAGGCATTTTAGGCCAGGATGGTCGGTCCCTGTCTCGGCGACTTGATTCTGTCGTTGTACTGAGAAAGCAGCCACATATGTGCAAAGGAATGAGCATGGCTCTATCTCGAAGAGACTTTTCAAAATTGAATTTCATTGATTTTTGAAATTTGAATTTTTTAAATTTGAATTTCTTGGAATTTTCATGTCATGAAACATTGTTCTGATTTTTTCCCCCAACCATTTAAAATATAAAAACCATCCTTAGCTCACACCTAGTGGTAGGCAGGATTTGGCCCAAGGGCTGTAGTTTGGTGATCATGGTCAGGCCAGTTCTGCCATAAAGAAATCAGTGTGGAAGCAGAGTGATTGCTTAGAAACTTTTAGAGCAATCTGACATTGCTCTGGCACCCAATCAAGTGTCTGCTGGACTCAACATGACCCAGGTGGGGCGACAGTGAACCCACAAGGTCAGTGACACATAGCGTGCTGCTTCATATGTGGTCAGTGATGGGTTGGAAATTTAAAAAAAAACAGGTCCTTTATACCCAGAAGGTTTGAAAAGTAGGGATCTCAAATCATTCCTTTGACCCCAGGGAGGGTTTGAATCTTCCCACCACAATCATACAATCACCCTAAAATATATAGTTATAACTACAGCAGGCAAACAAAAATATACATTTTTTGTGCATAGGAAAAAAAAATTGAAAAGGACTATAGCAAACGTTTAGTGAAGATTCTTTGAGTAGAATGTCAATGCATTTTTCTTTCTTTATATTCATCTGTGTTTTCCAAGTTTTCTTTAACGAATATGTGTGAATTTTATAATTAAGAGTTTTATGTGTTTTCTTAAAAACAAGTGGCTTTTAAGAAATTCTCTGGAGAATAATTTCTCCATTGGACAATCCTTCCCAGTGTCTCCCAAGCGTTCGGGAAGTGCTTTTTCATATTTAATCCACTTTTAGAGAAGCAGGGAAGAGAAAGAAGAAAATGGAAAACATATGTTGTCCTTCTGACTGCAGAGCCCCAGTTCTTGTCGTTCATTGTTATTTTTAACATAAGACTCATGGGCAGTAGTGGGGGTGGGGCATCAAGGCTGGAGATGTCATGAATGGTCATGAGTCCATTGTCACAGGACCGAAGTGAGTGGAGCCTCCTATGCTGACCTCTCAACTCTGGTGTCCCAGCAACCAGAGCCCAGTGTATGTCCGGTTGCTCAGGAACTGCAAGAAAAAGTGTGGGAGAAAGTTCACGGCAGCAGCACTTACTGCCAAGGAAAAAGCACAACTCTGAGTGCTGGGTATCATGGGCCTCAGTGGACCTGGGTTCGAATCCTGACTTGACCACTTTTTCACTGAGAAGCTCAGGCAGAGCACTGACATTTTCTGAGCCTCAATTTCCTCCCCAAGATAAGGTTGGGGGGTGGGGGGTGGGTAAACACACAACCCCCAAGCCGAGTGTCCCAGAGGCGAAGAAGACTGCTTGCATGAAAGCTCTTGACACTAGCAGACATTAAATCTGAGCTCTTCCTGGCTGCTCTGATGACCAGGGTCAAGGTCATCACCCCAGGCCAAGGGCAGGGCATAAACCTCTGCAACTTGGACTCAATCCTAGAAAAGACTTCAGCTGGAGAAGAAACCATTGCTGCTTTCTTTCTGGACTCCAGCCGTGTGTGACACACACCAGGGGCACCCATGTAACTGTGCATATACTTACGTCCCAAACTCAGCCCCAACCGGAGGCAGCCCAAGTTCAGGGTGTCCTTTGCTCATAAGCTGCACTGCCCAGGTCAGTAGCCATATGTGGCTATGTGTAAAGATTTAAATTAATTTGATTTAAATGAAATTAAACATTTAATTTATCGGTCACAGTACCCACATGTTGCGTGCTCAGCGACCACTCGTGGTGCAAGAACATTGCCATCAGTGCAGAAGGTTCTATCAGACAGCGCTGCTCGGTGGCTCAGTGCAGCTCCAGAAGACACCCCTAGAAAGTGCAGACTTCTGGTCATTTGCAAAAGTGTCCTCTCATTTCTGCAATAACAACTTCACTATATAGGGAAACAGAAACCTATAAAAATGTCATCTAGTGTCTGGAGTATTTGTGGGATGTGCCTATGAGAAAGCAGCTCCCTGGGTGGGTGAGGTCTGGGGGTCCCCCTGCAAGCCTCAGGCCCTGAAGCTGAAAGAAGCTTCTGCTCACTGGCTGACTGCTGTTAACATACAGTCGATAAAGAGATGGTGCTTCTTGTTTCTTTAAACAAAAACTATTTTAAGGAATTCTTGTTTCAAAATGGCTTGGTGCTATTCACAGGAAGAAAAGAAAAAGGGCAGCCTTATGCAGTGAGGCTCTCTGGGAACCATAGCCAGGACAGCTCTGTGGGGGCCGAAACAAACTCAGGAGTCCCAGAACCTACAGAGTGGGGCTCCACATCCTCTATGCTCCAGCCCAGGCTCTTGGCGCCCAGAGGCCTGCTGTGGCTCGGCCGCATGGCAGGACAACCTGTCTCTATGGGGTGGATTTGCCTGGAATGTGGATGGGATGGGCTTGTGCTGAGTTATAATAAACCTTCTCTCACTTCGCATCCAGCTCTGTTTGCCCAGCCTTCTCTAGAGAGCCTTTTGGAATCTTCTTTTCTATTGCAGCCCTGGCTCCTGCCACATGGAACAGTTTGAACAATCTATTCCAGCCTTAGATAGGCTGTGTTCCTCCCCCAGAAGGTGTAGAAGCTGCTGGCAGTGCCTACCCATGCCCTCAGGCCATGCCACATCAGGGAGCATGAACTCACTTTGGCTGCCAGCACCTGTGTCTCTTCTCCTGAGCTCACCTCACCCACATGCAGATGTGGCCGTCCAGGGGTATCCAAATTGTGTGCAACAGTGGATGATAACACATGTGGCTACCCCCTCACCCCTTAGAGGAATAACTCAGGCATTGCCCCAGAGTCTGCAGCACTGGAGCCTTAGTCGCCCACGGTGGTCACATGATCAGTCCTGGTCTTTATACCATTACTTCCCGGGATCACCTCCCAAATCAAATGTTTATCTTCAACATTCTTGTTGTAGGGCTGCTTCTGGGAAAACCCCACTGACCACTAAAGCTCCAATTAACCTTAGGTTGGGTTCTGGGAGAAGCTAAGACTGAAGTGCACAAGAAAGTTCTAGAATCAAGTGAGAAATGTGTATTGAAATGGGAGGAGATGGCCTGTCTTTTGAAATCCACAGAGAAGAGGATCTGAGGGATTTCTCAGTGAAGGAGACCAGCTGCTTCTCTGTGGAGTTTGGAGCCGCTTATCCAGGGATCCTGAAGACTCAAGAGGATCCCCAAGTTTCAAATATGCTCTTCCAGACACTCAGACTGGTAACCATGTAGTGGAATCTGCCTATACTTCTTCCAAATAATAGTCCTGGAGGGTTGAAAGGAACAAGAAAGGCGCACAAAATTCTCCCCTGTGAGGTCAGTTTCAAGCTCTCACCTAAGAGGGGCCTGGACTCCTAGCAGAGGCTCAGCCCACAGTGGTGCCAAGCCCAGGGGGGTGCTGAGCTGACAGGGGTGCCCAGCCGACAGGGGTACCCGGCCCAGGGGAATGCCCAGCCCTTGGGACCCAGGTCCAGTCATTGCTCCTCTGCCCTGTGTCAAGCAAGGGAGGCCCCTCAGGAGGCCTGGTGAGCACCAAGAACTCACTGGAAACCAGAAGGCTTGGGTGCCAAACACAACACATTGTGGTCTCAGGTGAGGATGGGGGAATGGGTGTCACAGGGAGGGAAGAGGCAGGCGCATCAAGTCCATCGCTAGTCCCTGTGCAGGAGGAGAGAGCAGGCTGCCATCACCCCATCTCTTCACCACAGAGACATGGTCCTCTTTCTGCCTTCTTCCTCTTTTTGGTGAGGCAGACACCCTCCCTGGGCTCAGTCAGAGCACCCCCCCCACATCCCTTCATCCCTACAGCATACCAGGAAGGCAACTCACAAAGAGGCCACAGCGCCTGGGTACATCCACACCCCAGCCCAGTGCCCTCCTGAAACCAGGGAGCGCAGCCGTCCTCTGGTGGAAAACTGAGAACTTAAAAACGTCCTCATTGGCTGCATTTCCATGTCTCTGGAAAAGCATTCACAACCAACCCATGCTTGAGAGGAAGCTTTCATCCATAAATGCTAATAACAGCCTGAAGGCTGAATCCCAGGACCAAGGGTTTCCTCTCCTTGCAGAACCAAATTGTTATGTCTAATTCTCGGTTGACTTTTCCAGGTGGCTCCATGGTTCCTTCAGTGTGGTGGCACTGGTGGCCCGTGGGAGGCAGCTGGCTGACAGCACGGACTGTCTTTGAGCTGGAAGAGTCAGGTGAGTTGCTTGGTGTCTGGGAAAGGGGCTAGGTCTGATCAGAGAAGCAAGTCCTACCTGTGTTTACCTGCCTGGCCCCAGACCCTGCTCCCTCCTTTCCAGGGTCCACTGAGCACAGAGGAAATGGAGCCAGGTAGCTCGTTGCCTGGCTTATTGTGTTGTTTTGGCTTTTAACTTTTAATTTTAAATTAGTTTAATTTTAGATTTAGAGAAATGCTGCAAAAAATAGTACAGAGAGTTCCCTTATATTCTTCAGCCTGCTTCCCCTAGCATCTGACATAACCACAGCATGATTACAAGAAAATTATCACCGGTGAATTGAAGTTAATGTTAGTTAACTAAATAGCAGGCCTTACTTAAATTTTACCAATTTTTCTGAAAATGCCCTTTTTCTGTTGCAGAATTTTATTCGTGATCCCATACTGCATTCATTGTTATTTTTTCTTTGTCTCCTGTGGTCTGTGACAGTTCCTCAGTCTTTTCTTGTCTCTAATGACTTTGACACTTTTGAGGAGTACTGGTCAGTAATTTTGTAGAATATCCCTCAGTTTGGGTTTGTTCAATGTTTTCTCATGATTGGAGTGAGAGTATGCATTTTTGGCAAGAATACCATTAAAATGGTGTATGTCCTTATATCAAAGAGCTCACTACGTTAATGTGTCTTGTTACTAATGATGTTAACCTGATCATGTGGCTAACTTGGTACCTACCAGGTTTCTCCACTATAAATGGACTAATATAATATATACTGTTTGGTGCCTTCTTTCTCAATAAATTTTTTAGATTCATTCATCCATAATGTTGCGTGTATTGTTTGTTCTTTTTTATTGCTGTAAAGTGTTCCATTGTGTGACTATACCAGCACCTCTCTCACCTCCAGGACAGGTGAGGAACATCAGCTATCTTTCTCTCCATTGCCTACAACAGTATTTGCATTGGTACCACTGAGTACAATTATATGGTGCACAACTAGTGCAGCTACACATGGCAAGCTGAAGTCCAAGGACTGCCTGAATCACAATGCAAGTTCTCAGATTTCTTTACCCCCAGAGAATTGATTCTATTGCACGCCGTCATTTGGGAAACTCAGGGTGAAGTACACACTCTAGCATGGCAGCATGGTTAAGTGGTTAATGAACATGAGCCCTGAAGTCTGGCTCTGGGTTCAAATCTTGTTGCCACTCATGAGCTAGGTGACCTTGACCAAGTTACTTCCTCTCTGTGACTGTTCCATCAGTAAAATAGGTTTAGTGATGATAGTACCTGTGCCATAGGCTACTCCAAGGATTAAATTTAATTTAATTTAAAAAAAGCCTTGGCCATGTGCAGTGGTTCATGCCTGTAATCCCAGCATTTTGGGAGGCCAAGGCAGGCGGATCACCCAAGGTCAGGAGTTTGAGACCAGCCTGGCCAACATGGTGAAACCCCATCTCTACTAAAAATACAAAAATAGCTGGACGTGGTGGCAGGCACCTGTAATCCTAGCTACTCAGGAGGCTGAGGCAGGAGAATCGCTTGAACCTGGGAGGTGGAGTTTGCAGTGAGCCGAGATTGCGCCATTGCACTCCAGCCTGGGCGACAGAACAAGATTCCATCTCAAAAAGAAAGAAAGAAAGCATTTAGCATGGTGTCTGGCATAGAATAAACACTCAACATGTTAATAGTGTTATTGTTAATAAACATCATTGTTGGCCAGGCACGGTGGCTCATGGCTATAATCCCAGCACTTTGGGAGGCCAAGGCAGGCGGATCACCTGAGGTCAGCAATTCGAGACCAACCTGACCAACATGGAGAAATCCCATCTCTACTAAAAATACAAAATTAGCCGGGCGTGGTGGCGCATGCCTATAATCCCAGCTACTCGGGAGTCTGAGGCAGGAGAATCACTTGAACCTGGGAGGCGGAGGTTGCAGTGAGCCGAGATTGCACCATTTTACTTCAGCCTGGGCAACAAGAGTAAAACTCCATCTCAAAAATAAATAAATAAATAAATAAACATAATTATTTTTATGGATTATTTATTTCTTGTTATTAATATTATAATACTACTCATTAGCTTTGCAGCCTCCATCTCTGAGGGCATGGTTTGAATGAGCGTGTATCCCTAAGAGCTGCCAGCAAACGGAAGAAGAGTTCCTGCACCTCTTGGTGCCTGAATGGTCCAGGGTCACCAACAAATAATAATACTCACAGCATGGGTTGTTCGTCAGGATTCTACAGAGACATAGAACCATTTGTGTGTGTGTGTGTGTGTGTGTGTGTGTGTGTGTGTGTTTTGTATGCATGTGTGGAGAGAGGAGGAGAGAGAGAGAGAGAGGGGCTTATTTTAAGGAATTGGCTTATGTGACCGTGGAGGCTGGCAGAACTCCCTCTTCCTGCAGGGAGTCAGTCTTTTTTCTTTGAAGGCCTTCAACTGATTGGATGAGGCCCACCCACATTATGGAGGGCAATCTGCTTTCATCAAAGTCCACTGATATAACTGTTACTCTCACCTAAAAGAAATTACCTTCACAACATCTAGACTAGTGTTTGACCAAATATTTGGATGCCGTGGCCTAGCCAAGCTGACATATAACATTAACAATCACAGAGGGCTACAGTTTGTGGTCCCCCTTCACATACAGAGGTTGACAACTCGAAAGCCCTACAGCAGTCAGTGCAGATAAAAATGGGGGGGTGGGCTCACCAGGCGGACTTGCCTTGGGGCGTAGGGGGACTTGGGCTGCCTGGCAGTCCCTGCATCGAGTCATGGTGGCCCATGCTTGGACCTAGGCCAAGACATATCAGGACTGCCAGACAGTATTATTTCAAATAATGCCAAAATCTGAATTTCTACGTGGAAGTTTCTATTTCTTTAATACTGGCAACTAGTTAAATGTTTTTAATTGTGTGCAGGACAAATGCACAAACCCAAGGGAAAGACGTGCCCTTGGGCAGCCCATTTGCGATCATGACCTACGCGATCTTACTAAATCTGTCAGCTTCCTTGTTTAAGGTATTCACAGAGCTTCTAGTCATAAAAATTGTAGTTTTGTAGGGGCGTTAGTGAGTTCTTTGAAAGCAGGATTTCTCTGCAGATCCGGAGCAGTGCTTCCCACTCTTTAGCATGGATCAGAATCCCGGGAGGGCTGTGAAACAGCCACCACACCTCACCCTCATTTCTGATTCAGTGGGTAGGGGTGAGCACAGAAAATCTGCTTTTCTAACAAGCTCCCAGGAGGTACTGATGTTGCTGGTCCAGGGACCAGGCTTTAAGAACTTCTGGTCTAGAGGGGAAAAAAGAACACGGGTGGACAGCAAGGAGAAGACATGGTGACAAGACAGGGCAGATCCTGCAGGAGGAGGAGCCGGGGGTATTGCTTTGGATTCACCACCATCCTCAGTCCTGTCTGCCTCCTTTTCTAACATCCTGATCTTCACATCTCCACCAGGATAGTGAGCTCTGTAGTAGAGGCATCTTCTATAAGATGCTTTACCCATGAAGGACACTCTGAGGCCCGAGGGGCCTGAGAATGAGTCTTCTTATTTCATCTTTGTGAAAGATGATATGGATAATGGTGATGGTTACACAACCATATGAGTGTGCTTAATGCCACTGAATTCCACACTTAAAAATGGTTAAAGTGGGGCCAGGCACGGTGGCTCACACCTGTAATCCCACTTCGGGAAGCTGAGGCAGGTGGATTGCTTGAGCCCAGGAGTTTGAGACCAGCCTGGGCAACATAATGAGACTTCATCTCTACAAAAAAAAATACAAGAGTTAGCTGGGTGTGGTGATGCATACCTGTGGTCCTGACTACTCAGGAGGCTGAGGCGGGTGGAGGCTGCAGTGAGCCGTGATGGTGCCACTGCACTCCAGCCTGGGTGACAGAGAGAGACCCTGGCTCAAAACAAAACAAAAAGGTTAAAATGGTGAATTTTATGTTATGTGTATTTTACTACAATAAAATATATGTTCTATGCTTAGAGATATGTATATTTGTAAAGCCCTGGAGTAGACCCAAATCAGCAGCATAGATGCCGAGGGACCGACAGGATTTGCGCTGGGAATGTGCCAGAAGGAAGAAACCCTTGAGCTCACCTAGCCATTCTGCAGATGAGCTGACTGAGGTCCAGGGCGGTCACCTTTGCTGTCAGGACTGGAACCTCAGGTGCGTCCTCACTGAGCATCTGAGGACATTGCCAGGTACCTGTTCATAAGAACCCTCCAGAAAGGGCTGAATAGTGCTCCCTTCCCAAACACAAGGGATATGTTCATGTTCTAAAGCCCAGAACCTGTGAGTGTGACCCTATTTGCAAAACAAGGACTCTGCAGATATAATTCAGTGAAGGGTGCCAGGATGAGATCATCTTGGATTATCCAGGTGGGCCCTAAATCTAGCAATAAATGTCCTCATTAGAGATACGCAGAGGAGAGACTCATAAGTGAGAGGAGAGAGGGCTTGGGAAGATGGAGGCAGAGAACAGACTGATGCAGCCACAAGCCAAGGAGCACCCGGGGCCACTAGAAGCCGGAAGAGAAAAGGGGAGATCCTCCCCGGAGCTTGTGGAGGGGCACGGCCTACCTGACACCTTGACATTGGACTTCTGGCCCCCAGAGCCATGAGAGGATGAATTTCTGTGTTGTTGGCCACACGGTTTGTGGTGGTTTGTCACAGCAGTACTGGAAAACAAATGACCTCCATAAATGGCTGAAAACTGAAGGGAGGAGAAGGGGAAGGTGCTGGTGGAGATGGCAAGTACTGTGGAAATAGACTCATCCTGTCTGGGCTTCTCAAACCAAAGCTGGCCTCTCCAACAATGGCAAGATAGTCACTGTATTCTCAGGGTGTCATCTTGACACTCCTCCAAACTCTTGCCCCCAAGTCACTTGACTCGACCTCCAAATGGCTCGCTGGAAAGCCGGCTGGGAGCAGAACTCTTACCTCCAAGCAGCTGCCCCATATATACCACCCCAGGCCCCTAAGAGGCTGAAGCTGAAATCCCCAACCCACCCTTGGTGGGCTCTGTGACGCCCATAGGAAAAAGAGTGGAAAATCCTACAGAATTCCTGTGCGATCACAGTAGGGTGAAGTCCTGCCTCCACTGGCCCACCCAACCCAAATGGAAGTCAAGTGATGGCAGTAAGGGACACCCCAGCTCCCCTGCAGGAAACAGGATTTGCCCTGCTGAAATGCGTGGCCCTGCCCTGCCCAGCTGGGGTCTAACAGAGGCTTCCCTCCAAGGCCGAGAGTCAGAAGTCCAGCACTGCTCTCTGCCGCTCTTGGCTGCGGTGCCAGCAGGTCTCCCCAGCATCCTGCCGGTCTCTGCCCTCCTCCAGGCACAAACCAGGGTCTCCACAGCTAAGCCAACGTGGGATTGGTCTTCTCCAGGCTAATCCAGCTGAACCACCCCCTCTGAATTAGAAAGGGCCCCAGGCCCCACGTCTAATTGGACACTCACAATGACCAGAAAATCAGGAAGAATGAACCCCAAAGTGCTCACAAATGCCCCATTCTCCGCTCCCCAAGGAGGCCCTGTCCACAAACAAATGGGCAAGCAACAGGCCCTTTCCCCAACCTCCTGGTGGGATGATGCCCTGGCGACGCCACACATTCTTTCTTGCCCAGACGCGGTTACCTCATGTGCCCAGCATTTCCTATGAAGAGGAAAAAGCCATCCCAAGCCCATCTCAGGAAACATGATCTCTGGCCAGAGAGGCAACAGTCTGAGAGGACCAGGCTCCTGCCACATTGTCCCCAGAAGGCAAGGGAAACCCTGGGCTCTAAATCCACAGCCCCCACCTGAAAACAAAAATCAAAACCCCACTGATTTTGAAAAGAATTTCCTATCCCCAGAGTTTCTCTCTTTCTTTGATTCTTTACACTTTAACCAAATATCTTTTGCATTTATTATTTGACTGGGAGACACATGCCTCCCAGGGAAGCACCCACCAATATCCAGCCTCCTGGCCTGTGCCCCAGTCAGTGCCATCCACACCCTTAGCCAGCCAGCAAGGGGGCAAACAGATCCCCCAGGCATGGACTTGAAGCTGCAGCCTGCGGTGTGAGATGTGGTTCTTGGATCAGAGAAAGCCACAGATGTACCCAAGACAGGCATCTCATCTCCTCCTCCTGTCACTTGTCTCAGCCTGTCAGTGGCTCGTCATGAAGGGGGTCAGGAGGGGGCCCTGAAGCCACGCTGTCTCCCACCTGGATGGTCCCATGAGCAGCTGGAGTCCCTAAATCCAGCATCCTAGTGGTCTCCAGGCTCTGCAGCCATTTGTCTTTGGTCCAAGTTAGAAATGAGTTTGAGATACTACAGCACTGGTAGCAGAACTCTTATTTTTTAATTTTTATTTTTTGTTTTGAGACAGGGTCTCACTCTGCAGTGGTGCAATCATAGCTCACTGTAGCCTGGAACTCCTGGACTCAAGTGATCCTCCTGCTTCAGCCTCCCAAGTAGCTGGGACTACAGGTGTGCACCACCACACCTGGCTAATAGTGGACTTAAAAGCACTAGTATTTGCATCTCCTCTTAGCCCATCCGCCCCACTATCTCTACCCTTCTCTGGGCAATAAGCTTGGAGGGATCCCGTGTGGTGGCCCTGGGCTCCGGCCCTGGCTCAGTCACGGCAGCTGTGCAGGCAGGCCTAGCTCACGGGTCCAAATGGCGGCCCATGTGCCATATGTCTGAGTATTTAAACACTATAAATCAAGCAAACAAACTGTTCAATAAAATATGTTCCATGCTCCTACTTTGACATATATGACCCATGAGGCTGGATTTGAGTTCAGGATTCTAGGGCTCTGCACGGTTCTACTCCAGAGTGTGGCAGTCTAAGAAGAGTTCACCCTGGCCATGGCCTGGCCTCTTACCTGTCCCACAACAATTCTGTCTGGCATTGCAGGGGGTCTTGTGTGCATGCACACAGATACTCAGCCTGAAATCCAAGTCCCATCCACATGTCCACGAAGAGCTACCACTTGATAGCTCCTGCACCTACCTGCTCTAGTCTCAGGTCACTTTTGGGGGGACACACCTAGAAACAAGACCAACATGGGTCCTGGGAGGAGGCTCCTAACCATTTGGGCAGAAAATCCAGGGTTGGGCTGGGCATGGTGGCTCCTGACTATAATCCCAGAACTTTGTGAGGCCAAGGCGGGAGGACTACTTTAGCCCAGGAGTTCCAGACCAGCCTGGGCAACATAACGGGACATTATCTCTATAAAAAAATTTTTTTTAAATTAGCTGGGCATGGTGGCATGTGCCTGTGGTCCCAGCTACTCAGGAGGTTGAAGTGGGAGGATCACTTGAGCCCAGGAGGTCAAGGCTGAAGTGAGCTATGATCACACCACTGCACTCCAGCGCACGCAACAGAACAAGACTGTATCTTAAAAAAAAAAAAAAAAAAATTCCAGGGCCCCAGGTACATGAAATATGGCCCAGAAGGTCTCAGGCCCTGAGTAGACATGATCCCACAGCAACCAGACTCCTCAGTCTGTGGGGAGGGGCAAGGCCAGAGGAGGGCCAGAGAAGGGCCCTCTACAGTACTGGGTGCGGGGTAGGGCCCCCTACTTGTGAGGGTCTAGGGCTGTATTGGTATGACCTTGGGATGCTCTCAGTGTGTGAGTCTGCTCAGGCTGCCGTCACAAACATCACGGACTGGGTGGCTTAAACAGAAATGTATTCTCATCTGGAGGCTGGAAGTTCAAGATCAAGTTGTCAGCAGGGCTGGTTTATCCTACACCTTTGGCTTGCCTTCTTACTGTCTTCATGGCCTTTTCTCTGTGCATATGAACTTCTGCTCTTTTCCTCTTCTTCTAAGGACACTAATCATATCAGATTAGGGCCCCACCCTTATGATCTATGACTCATTTAACCTTAATTACTTCTTTAAAGACCCTACCTCTAAATATAGCCACATTTGGGGGTGAGGGCTCCAGCATACATATTCTGGGGGAGACACAATTCATTCCATAGCACTCAACCTCTCTAAGCCTCAATTGCCTCATCTGTAAAAAGGAGATGATAATAAGGCTTGCTCCATGAAGATGGTGTAAAGATTAATTGGAATAAAGCAACTAAAATGCCCAGCCCAGTGTCTGAAACATAGTAAGTTAAGTAAGCACTGCTGTGTAACAAATGACTCCAAGGCTTAGTGATCCAAGACAACCCCCATTCTACTATCTCTCACAATTTTATGGATTGGGAATCTGGGCAGGGCTGGGTTGGGCAACTGTTCTGCTCCTCATGGCTCTAGGACAGTCCCTTTGTGTCTAGAAGGTAAGTTGGCTGGTTTGAAGGAGCTTCACTTACATGTCTGGTGCATTGGTGGGGACAGCTGGAAGGCTGATCTTAGCTGGGATATTGATCAGAGTACCCACACGTGGCCTCTTCAGGATGACCAGCCCAGGGTAGTCAAACTTCTTACAAAGGTCAAAGCTCCCAGAGCAGGAGTCCCAGCAGTGGAAGTGGAAGCTGCCAGACACAGACACCTAAGGCCTGGCCCAGAAACTAGTATGGCAGCACTTCCACCATTTTCTACTGGCCAAGTGCCCACAGAGCCTCTCCAAATTCAGCAAGAAGGGACACAGACCCCACATCCCAACAAGAAGAGTAGCAAAGAATGTGTGGCCATCTTTAACCTACCACAGCATCCAGGAAGTATTAACTATTGTCATTTTTCAAACATGGAAGGTAAAAAATGGGAGGCCACAAGAGTGGTGGGGTCCTTGGTGGTCTTTGACACCCGGAATAGAAAAGGGTGAGTTTTTGGTACTTTTAATGTTCAGAGCCTCTCCCCTCTCTCATGACTCCACTACCTTACCCATCTCACGTCCAGTTTCAGGGACCCTTGCATCACACGAGTTAAACTTCAGCTTAAAGTTCCTGTTGAGTGCGGTGCCTGTCAAGAGCTGTTGGTGGGAGACACATGGGCTTTCAGAGATGCCCCGCCCTCCCTCATGAAGCTCGCATCCAGCCCAGGGAATAGGAAGATAAGCAGTGCTGTGCTGGTAGCCAGCTTTCTGGGGGATGGGAGGACCCCGACTTGTAACATTTGCTGATTTCCCTGGCATAAGTAAACCAGGACTGATTTCAAACTGCCAAAATGACTTCGATGAACCCAGAGTTGAGAAGAGATTCCCAAAACTGGCTCTTGCAAGCTGATGCGTGCTTGTTCCAAAGATGGAAACAAGGCAGGGTCTGGTGAATGCCAAGCATAAACTGCAGGAAAGAGTGGGTCCAGTTGGGGGTAGGATGACGGGGAGGAGGCATTCGGGATGAGGCTTGGAGAATGGGTAGAAATTACTGAAGGAGGACATTCCAAGCAGGAGGAACAGCATTAAAAAAGATCTAAAGGGGGCCAGGTGCGGTGGCTCACGCCTGTAATCCCAGCACTTTGGGAGGCCAACACGGGCGGATCACGAGGTCAGGAGATTGAGACCATCCTGGCTAACACGGTGAAATCTTGTCTCTACTAAAAATACAAAAAATTGGCCGGGCGTGGTGGCAGGCGCCTGTAGTCCCAGCTACTTGGGAGGCTGAGGCAGGAGAATTGCTTGAACCCGGGAGGCAGAGGTTGTAGTGAACCGAGATTGCACCACTGCACTCCAGCCTGGGCAACAGAGCAAGACTCCATCTCAAAAAAAAAAAAAAAAAAAGAAAAGAAAAGAAAAGAAAAGAAAAGAAAAGAAAAAAGACCCAGAGGCAGGAAAACCCAAGGTATACCAAAGAACATCGAGGGGCAGGGTTTGTAGTGGACAGCACATGAAGGATGGTTAAAGATCTGGGTAGAAAGCCAGGTGCCGTGGCTCATGCCTGTAATCCCAGCGCTGTGGGAGGCCAAGGCAAGCAAATCACTTGAGGCCAGGAGTTCTAGACCAGACTGGCCAACATGGCAAAACCCAGGTCTACTAAAAATACAAAAAATCAGCTGGGCATCGTGGCGGGCACCTGTAATCTCAGCTACTCAGGAGGCTGAGGCAGGAGAATCACTTGAACCAAGAGGCAGAGGTTGCAGTGAGCTGAGATCTTGCCACTGCACTCCAGCCTGGGCGACAGAGGGGGAAAAAAAAAGATCTTGCTGGAAAAGGTGAGGTGGGCTCTAATGATGAAGGGACTTGAGAGCAAAGCTGGGGGGTTAACATGGTTAAAAGAAAAACTTTAGACACATTTAACAAAGTTTAATTGAGCAAGGAAGAATTCTTGAATTGGGCAGCCCCCAAACCAGAATAGGTTCAGAGAGACTCCAGTGCTGCTACGTGGTCAGAGAGGATTTATGGACAGAAAAAAGAAAGCTGCAGCCAGAAGAAGGAAATGTGGTACAGAAACAGCCGGACCGGTTACAACTGGGAGTTTGTCTTACTTAACAGTTGGCCACTTGTGATTGGTTGAAGCTGGGTGATTGGCACAAGAGTAGGTTACAGTCTGTTTACACATCCAGCTAGGTTACAGTTCACTGTGTCTGGAGAAACCTTTAGGCCTAACTTACAAGATGCAGCTTTAGGCCAAACCTAAAAAACATTTACTACGGAGGGCGTCAGAAGGCTTTTGAGCAGGGATTGACATGATCTGGAAGGTGCATTGGAAGTGGGGTGAACTTGGAAAGTGGGACCCCCTGAAAGGAGACAAGGAGGTGGGACTGCCGATGGAGCAGAGGAGAGTGGGCCCAGCTGCATAGATTGGCTCTACCGTGGAGATGTCAAAGGTGTGGGCTGCGAGGCTGAAAGCCAGGATAGGGGATGATTTGCTCGGAGGAGCTGTTCTCCAGGGAAATCAGAAATCTTCATGGTCAAGTCTTGAAAAGTTTTGGTCTCCAGACAAAGGTTTCCAGTGGCAGCTCCTGGGGAGAATCTGGAAGCTAGGGACTTCCCCAAGGCCTTCTTTCCAGTAAGCAGCCCCCTGCAGCCACCGCACAGACCCCCTCAGGCCTCAGGTCCCTCTTGGGCCCGTCTCCACTGTGACAAGGGGAAGCCAGGACAGGGAAAGCTCACGGTGAGTTTGAACTTGAGATGCCTGGGGCTGGCAGATCAGTGCTTTGTTCCTCTGTCCTGTAGTATTCCACCAACCCCCTGGCACTGTCCTGAATGACACGTGTGTTCCTTACACACGTGCCATGCTCTACAGCCCATCTAGTGCGTCGGGAGGCAGCATCCCATTTAATCCATGCACATCCTGTCTGAGAGTCGCTATTTATAAGCCCATTTCATAGGTGAAGGAGCTGAGGCCCAAAGAGGTGAGAGACTTCAACAGGCAGTATGTGGCAGAACGAGGGCTCACAGGGCCTAACGCTTGCGCCTTGGAAGGTTCAGCCTGTCTGGGGACACAAAACTTGCACTCACGAAATAACTGGAGGGAAATAACTGGAGGGAAATAAAGAAGAGCTCTTTCTGGGGTCTTTTCCAACTCAACAACCCTGACGACCCCGGCTCTAGAAAAGTCCCTTGGGGAACCCTGCCAGGACAACCTGTTTCATCTCTAAGTGTTTATTACACAAACATATCTCTTATCCTTGATCCAAATGAAATCACCGCCATTCATATGTAACCAGGATATAACTGGGCCATGCTGGGGCCCATCTAAACACAGTGGCCTTTGAATAAACACAGACCTCTCCCAAAGCCCTGAAAACCTTTTTTTTTCTCAAGTCTCTTGAGCAGGCAAACATAGGAGGAGAGGAAAGAGTTGGGGGTCGGGAGCCATGTGCCAAACCCAACGCTGCCCACTGCAAACTTCTTACAGAGTCCTTCTGTCCGTCTCTGTCTCCAAAGCCCACGCCACAGGGCAGGGGCTCACCCAGCCCTCCCTCTCACCCTCAAACTCTCCGCCCTGCCAGCGTCCTGTCTCACTCCCCCTTCTCCCTCCTCCCCCTCCTACAAGCCCTCTTCCAGAGGTTTCCCTTCTGAGAGCAGCTCTAGAGGCTTTATTTTGAAAATCAAGGTAGCCCATTACCCCAGTTAGCACAACGAAGGGCTGGGTTAGGAAGTGGGTGCCTCCTCCAGAGGCCAAGGGAGAGGGGAAGTGTTTGTGGAAGTCCCTTCTTTTACCAGGTGTGGTGAAAAAGATGCTGAGCGGCAGCTAAGGGTACCTGGACTTAGCTCAGTCATTAAGTGTGCGACCTTGAGTAGGTGATTTCACCCTTGGACCTAAGAATAGAAACTGGGTATAGTGGCTCCTCCCTGAGGAGAGTACAGGGAAGAGAGACGCAGTGAACTTTGAACCCACTAGGTTTGGAGATGAAGAGTGGTTCCTGCCAATGGCACAGCCTTCATCTGATCATAAGGAAACAGACAGACCTGAACTTGAGAGCATTTCCTGAAACAATGGGTCCTTTAAAATGCCAGGGCCATGAAGGACAAAGGAAAAAGACCAAGAGACAAGACAGTGGAGGGCAGGGTGTAATCCGGGATCAAATCCTTGACGTGGGGAGGGAGTTTCTATAAGGGACTGTACATCAGATAGTAGCTATGAGTCAGTGTTCTATCTCTTGAATTTGATAAATTGCACCGCAGGTGTGTAAGAAGATGTCTTCATGTTTAGGAGATAGATGCTGAAATATTTAACGATAAAGGGGCAGGAGGTCTCCAACTTTCTAAAGTGTTTCAGAAATTAATAACAGTTTGCGTATATATATGTGAATACGTGTATATACACACATATATAAGAGAGAGAGGCAAATGTTACAAGTTGGGAAACCTGGATGATTTTTGTCTCATTTTTATAAGTTTTTTTCTAAGTGTGAAAGTATTTCAAAACAAAAAGTTAAAAAATAAAAATTGAAAAAAGCAGCGATACATAAGCGCTCTGAGTTTTATGAATTTTAATCAATTAAAGAAGCTTGTTGTTACTCCATTCAGTCATTCATTCAACAAATATTGGCTGAGCTCCTACACTGTGTGGGACACTGTGCTAGGTGTCAGGATGCAGCGAACAAAAGGCCCGGCCTAGCGACCAGACCAAGGTTGGGTCTGCAGTGCATTCCAGGGGCCTCCCCATAACCCCCAACCCCTCCCGCTTTGAGACCCAGGCTCTCCTTGCCCTAGAGGCCAGGCTGTCCCTGCTGCCAGGGGGCCCTTCCTGAGAACTGCCCTCACCTGAAGAGACCCACTTTGACCAAGCTTATGTCCCCTCCTGGCATCCAATGTCTGGTCATTTGGGCCCCCTTGCCTGGACTGGAATAACTCCAAAGACTATCCCAGCTTCAGATCTCCCACAGGGCCAGCTCCAGCCCTCATGGTGACAACATCGCAGTTCAACTCCTCCCTCTGCCCAAGAGCACTGTCCGAAAACTTCCTGCATATAACCTCTGTCTCAGAGTTTGTGTCCGAGGAACATGGTCATTACAGAGTCCCAACAGGAAACAAATGTCACAATCAAATTAAGAGAATTCCAGATGACTTATTAAAAGGACTGTTTACAAAGGTATGGGCAGGGTGTATAAGACCACCAAGAAAAATGCAGTGACCTGGGGCTAGGAACAATTAAGCCTTTACCAAAGGAGATAGCTACGTGGAAAAGGCAACCGTTGGCGGAGTAAGGTCCTTCAGCTGAGACTCAACCAGCCCGAGATGACCCAGCAGAGACGGAGCCACAGGAATAAGCAAATGCCTTTCCTCACTCTCCTCGTCCCCTTCCTGCTACTCCTGCCCGGGCCCCCCATTGGCCACACCCAGCCGGAAGTCTGAAGAAGGATGAGGGTGGCTCTGGTGGCGGACGGAAGACCTCAGTACAGAGTCCCATACAGCACCCGAGCTTGACCCCTCTGGGAGTGTCTGATGAAAGCTCTGGACTCTCCCCAGGAAATGGATCATAAATACACACACACAATTTTACACTTAATTTTAAGGAATTCATGGCTGCTCTCCCAGGAAGCCCAGGCACCCGAGATTAAACACCACAGTGCTATGAAGTGGTAGAAGCAGAGGCACAAAACACGAGTGATTGAAGAAGGGAAGAGAAAAGCAGAAAGAAAGGGAGGGGCACTGATGTCCTCATCTTACAGAGCTGGGAATCAGCGACTGCTGTCAGAAGAGGAAATGCTCATGCAGGAGTCAAAAATAGTCATGAAAGTTCAGACATTGGGAGTAGTGAGCTAAATGCTCATCTTAGGTATTGGGGAGTGAATAGCTGTTGTCTAAAGATGGTAACTGAGGAACGGAGGTATAAGTATGTGATTTGGAGTGTGGAGAAAATCCATAAACAGCAACTGGCAAAAGATGCTGTCTTGGGGGAGTAGGACTGGGAGTGAACAGGGGCAAGTACAGCAGGAGAGACACGATTGCTTTTCATTGTAAGCCTTTCTGATGTAACTGAGTTGTTGCCACTATATAACACACACACACACACACGCACACACATATGTGTCTGTGTGTGTATATATATAACTTTGATAAGTATAATTTTTGTAAAGAAACCTTTCCCTATTAGGATCTTCCAGCACGTCTAACCTCACAAGGCCTCAGAGCCAGTTCAACACACATACCCTTCCAGCAGACTGGCCTGTGCCCACCTGCAGAGCAGAAGTGGCCCTGCTTCAGCCACCTATTTCTGAGTCACAAAATACTCTGAAACTTGGTGACTCAAAACGACAAAAATGTATCATTTCTCTCCATTCTGTGGGTTGACCGGGTGTTTCCTTTGCTTTGCCTAGTGTTAGCTGGGACCCTGGGATGGCTGGAAGGTTACAGAATTGCCTCACTCACATGGCTCCACCGGGCTACTGGCTGGGGATCTGCGGAGCTGTTGACTGGCAGCCTTGGTTCCTCTGTGTGGGCCTCTCCACTTGGCTGCCTGGGCTTCCTCACAGAATGGCAGTGAGGGTCCAAGAAGGAGCCATTAAAGAAGTAAAGGCAGAAGCTGAAAATGACTGAAACCATTATACTTATATAGCATCACTTGCACTGCATTCTACTCATTAAAAGAAGTCAAAGGTCACCTCAGGTCCAAGAGCAGGGAATTAGATTCAATCTCTGAATGATAGCAGTGGCAGAAACAGGAATGCTTCATGGCAGAGGGAAAATACTCCACAGGATGCTCCCATTGCTCCAACAATTCTGCCACCAGCCACACCTCCACGGACTGCCTGCTGGAGACTTCCCATCCAAACTTGTGCTTCTGCACACGTCCCAGCCCTCTCAGATGCATCCTCTCTCTCAGTCTTCTCTGTCCCGTGCAACCCATGGTTCTAGATTGACATGGTCACCTTGGCTTTCGGTGTTTTTATTGTTATCTTAACCTTCATCAGATTTTATTATTTATTTATTTTTTTAAATTTATAATCATCTTCTTGGAGAATGATTCACCAAATTTTAAAATCCCAGACAATATAAACTAAGTCTTCCAAAATACTCTGTATATCCTACTGAACATCATTTCCATCCCTCCCACTGAGAATTATAGTGAACAGATGCAATCAATGTTTAAATTATGTATCTATGAATATGTAATTTATATATCCATACTTACAAGGCTGCCACATTGCATAACTCCAGGGAGGCACTTTTATGTTATAGGCTATGCAAATGGTGTCCCCTGGAGGTATGCAGTACGCAGCTCATACAACTGAACATGGCCTTCCTGGATATGGGTGCTTGGTAAGAGCATATCTTTTATTCGACCTCTCTAGTGCATACTCATTTTAGGGCAGTGGCTCTCAATCTGCACATTATAATCACCTGGGCAGGCCACACTGCCAAGCACTAAAATCTGAATCACCTCGCGGTGGGACCCAGGCATTGGCGTATTTAAAGTTCCCTAGGTGATTTTAACATGTAGTCAAGGTTTAGAACCAGTACTCTCAGGGGATGCGTACAGAATCCTTGAAAAGGGTTTTGTCTTTGGTAAAAGTGTAAAAATAATTGGCATTCATGTATAGAAAAAAAATAGAAAGTTGCAGGAAACTCTAAAAAACAAAATAAAACAAAACCAGTTCCATGCACTGAAGAAAATCCCTGTTGGGGTTTTTCTTTCTTTTCTCCATGAATATCCTTTGCCCCCTGCAGTCACACAGTGCAGAAAGCTTTGCTGGGCTTCACCCTGCCTCTCACTTCAGGTGGAAGGTGGAGAGGGATCATGGGGCTGTTGTTGGTGAACTTTGCTTTTCCCTCTGGCCTTAGGCCAAAAATGTGAGACTTTTTTGTTTGCAGAGATTGTCCTGTTCATCCCTTAAACAACCTTTCCTGGCCCAACGGACACTGTAGGACTTAGCTGGGTCAATGTCATGGTCTATACCTTCTGTGGCCTAAGCTGGCTCCAGACATTGGAGAGAGAATTGTATTAGCCTTGCTGGGCCTCGGCCCTGCCTTCTCCATGGGACATCTCCAGTGCAGGACCCTGGCTGATGGCCAGGCCTCTGCACATCCATTCTGTCATTATCCGGAGCAACCGCCCGCACCTCAGCCCCAAGTCTCCCACCTCATTTTGTTGGGTCCCTTGTTCCTGACCGGATACCTAGTCTGGTTCTCCTCTTCCTCTCCTAGGAACTTGCTTGCTCCTTTGGGAACTCTGAGCCTCAGACCTGGCAGAGCAGGAGTGTTACCCACTGGCAACATCCAGCTGGCCCCATCGCTGACCACCTACGACCTTTGGGACGTTTGGCTCCTTATCTTGACCCTGGGCTTGACCTGCTATTGCTGCACCATCAGAGAGAACCTTCCTCAGCAGCCAGCCCCGGAGTTCCTCTACTCCCACCTCCACCCTGGCTCTGGCCCCGCCTTCTGTGATGTGAGGGATTCATGAGTGCATTTGCTCTCTCCACAAATGTTTACTGACAGCCAATTATGCACCAGGCACGGCGCTTGGTGCCCACATTAGAAGAGGTTCCTCCCTCCTGGAGCAGACAGCGAATACACTGTCCCTGAGAGGGGTGTTACCAGGTGATAGGACCCTGCCTGGGATTTGGCGACCACTTCCCAGAGGAAAAGGGGCTGGGAGCCAAGACATGCAGGATGATGAGTAGCTGATGGGGTAAGGGAGCAAAAGCCTTCCAGAGAGAGGGAATGGCACATCCAAGGGTCTGTGCGGAGGCTGGAGGGAGGCCATCGTGGTGGGGTCTCTCCAAGCCAGAGAGTAGAACCAGGTGAGGCTGTGAGGTGGGCCGGGCCAGAGCACTAGATCCTGTGGGCCAAGCAAGATCTTAGTTGGCCTTCCAAGACCCTTCCACGGTTTCTAGGCAAGAGAGTGACACAATCAGACACACCCACTGATCAAACTATCCAGCTACAGATGCAGGAGACACCATTAAACACTCCCCTTGTATCATCTGTGGAAGGAGACAGACACTGGGAATGTGATTTGCCTGCCAGGATGGGAACTGGGTCACCCACTGAGGGGCAAGAGAAGAAGAAAGACTCCAGTGTGTGTATGTTCGTACACCTTCTTTGCCAGGCATGGTGGCTCACTTCTGTAATTCCACTGCTTTGGGAGGCTGAGATGGGAGGATTGCTTGAGGCCAGGAGTTCAAAACTAGCCTGGGCAACATAGTGAGACCCCACCTCTAAAAAAATAGAAAACAATTAGCTGAGTGCATTGGCACACATCTGTAGTCCTAGGTACTCAGGAGGCTGAAGTAAGAGGATCACTTGAGCCCAGGAGTTCAAGGCTGCAGTGAACTATGATTGAGCCACTGCACTCCAGCCTAGAGGACAGAGTGAGACCCATCTCTAAAAAGGACACACATGCACACAAATAGAATAAAAATTATGATTAATCTTGTCCCTTCAAAAAAGCTTGACTTTGCTATGGTTTGAAGGTTTGTCTCCTTTGAAATTCATCTTAAAACTTAATTCCTAATATGGCAGCATTGAGAGGTGGGGCCTTTAAAAAGGGACTGGATCATGAGGGCCATTCGTGTATTAATAGGTTCTTGGGTTATCATGGCGGTCGGTCATTAAAAAGCCAGCTTGACTCTTGCTCCTACCTCTGCCACAAGATCCCCTGCAGCACCTCAGGACTCTGCAGAAGAAGGCCACCAGCAAGAAGACCCTCACCAGATGCAGCTCCTCAGCCTTGAACTTCCCAGTTCCAGAACTGTAAGAAATAAATTTCATTTCTTTACAAATTACCCAGTCTCAGATATTCAGTTATAGCAACAGAAAACTGACTAATACAAGCCCGAATCTCTTCCTGAAGAGCAATTAGTCAAATCCAAATTGAGGCACGGTCTGTCAAACAAATGACTGAATGCTTTGAAATATCAGGGTCATGAAAGACAAGACAGGCCCAAAGGTGGCTCCAGGTGAGAGGAGCTTGAGCGGAGGCACAATGGAGGGAGGCGGGTCTTGACTGGATAAAAAGGGACATGGACATGACAAGGACAACTTGCAACATTTGGACATGGGCCATGTAAAGAGACCAGGCTTGTATCTACATTAAATTCATTGAGGGTGGTCATGGTTTCATTCTTATGTGAGAAAATGCTCACTATCTTAGAAAAGACATGTGGAAATATCTGGATAAAATCTCAAGATATCTCCGCAACTATTCTCAAATATAGAAAGAAACAAAAAGGCCTGGTGCAGTGGCTCACATGTGTCATCCCAGTGCTTTGGGAAGCCAAGACAGGGCGATTGCTTGAGGCCAGGAGTTTGAGACCAGCATAGGCAACATAGTGAGACCCCATCTCTATAAAGAATAAAAAAATTAGCCAGCTGTGGTAGTGCACATCTGTAGTCCCGGCTACTCAGGAGCCTGAGGCAGGAGGATCGCTTGAGCCAGGAGTTCAAGGTTGCAGTGAGCTATGATCATGCCACCATACTCCAGCCTGGGAAACAGTGAGACCCTATCTCTAAAAATATAAATAAATAAAAAGAGAGGGAAATGATAAAAAAGGAAAGAAAGAAGGTGGGGTAGGGAGAGAAAGAGAAAGAAGAAAGGAAATTAAAAAAGAAAGAGAAGAAAAGTGATAGGGGAGAGGAGAGAAGGGAAGGAAAGATACTGATTTTTTTTTTGACCAATGAATATGTTTATATAGAGATATAGCAAATGTGGCAAAATATTAACTGCTGGTAAATTTCATAGTTATTATTCTTGCAAGTTTTCTATGGCTTAAAATTTTTCAAGATGAAAAGTCTGGGAAAATTAAGATGAACATAAAATAAAAACACTTTTTAAACAATTGTTTATGATTGGAAAAAAAGAATCTGACTGTTGACAGATTCCAGGACCACGGCAACTCTTCATATTTTAAGAATAAACAAATCTCTCCCATTTAGCCTGGTGGCTGGGTGATCTATCCCCACCCCTACGGATGACAGGATGTAAAAATCACTTACTTTGGACTCCACGAAATGGGTGAAACACCCCACTGTGAAGACGCTGGGGGAGCTACGTATTCAGAGGACTCTCGGTTCTTTTCAAGCATATAGACATTTCCAACAGTGTAATGTCCTGACCTTTCTCACATGCCAAGCTAAAGTCATTTTTCTTTGAATAAGCTGAGATTTAGAAAAAGAAAACAATGATCCAGGTGGCCTTTAAAGAGTGAATGTTATAAAGAGCATTTCCCGCACTGGGGCTGGGGGCTAGGGTGAGGGCTGGCGGTCTGGATCACATGGGTTCCAATGGCGCTGCTCCCATCACGTGCAGCAGCAGCCGGCCTCACCCGGGAATCAGAGCCTGGACTGGCCACTGTGTTGCCTTTACTCTTAGAACTGGAGATAATGAAAACTAGAACTCATTACATCTGTAGGTGCCCGACATCGAGTGTGCCATGTGGGCATGGGTCTCGGGAAAGGAGCATTTTGACGGTGCTCCTAAGAACCCAAAGGAAGACAGTGGCCCAGGGAGTGGTGTTCTGGTTGGCTGATAGGGCCTGCAGTGGGTGTGCACGCAGCCATGGCTTCCAGGGGAGCCATGAGATGCAATGAGAATGGGGGACACTGACAATGCTCTTGATCCCACCCTCTCAGGCCACCCGACTGCTCTTAGTGCTGCCGGAGCATCTGAGACACGTGCAGGTTCTGGTTTCTGATGACAGCATCCCTAGGGAGCCAAGAGTTCAGGCTCTGGAGTTGAGAGCTGGTTCAAATTCTACACTTGTTACCTGCAGACTGGGACTTGGGAAGGCTGAACCTCTCCAAGCCTGTCTTCCTCAACCCTGAGATGGGGTAGAAGGAGGAGTGCGCTGATGATTAAACGAGACGAAGCCTCTTACTCTTATACATGGTGCAGATCGGAGCCCCCAGCGGGTGCCCCACAGGTGGTAGCCCAGCCAGGAAGCTGACCAGGGCAGCAACCTGGAAATATGACAAGATGGAGCAAATCACACTCCCCAGAGATTGGAAGGAGCACTTTGTCCAACTGTGGGGATGAAGACGGGGCGGAGCAGTACCAAGCATCACTAGGCTGCCTTCTGGGGAGAGAAGGACTCTGTAACTGGAGGGCCTTTCCTTTTCTGAGTAGAGTTTCCAAGTTTGGATTCTGAACTGAACCACCTGAGAAGATAATGCTGAGGCAAAGGCGCATCCAGCCGTTTCACTCCTCTCCGCCTCCCTTCTAAATACCATCAGGCGCTGCATACACTATGGTGGTCCCATAAGATGACCATGGAGCTGAAAAATTCCTGCCAAGGAAGTTGAGGCTGCAGTCAGCCATGTTTGCATCCCTGCACTCCAGCCTGAGCAACAGGGCGAGACCCTGTCTAGAAAAAAAAAAAAAAAAATTCCCGTTGCCTGGTGACGTCATAGCTGTCATCATGTCGTACAATGCATCACTTGTGTGTTTGTGGGGATGCTGGTGTAAACAAACCTACTGCACTGCTAGTCATATAAAAGTCTAGCACATATAAATACTGTATGTGCTGTGCATGATACTTGATAATGATTAATAAACTACTATGTTACTGGTTTATGTATTTGCTATAATTTTAATCATTATTTTAGAGCATGTACCTTCTACTAATTAAAAAAAAAAAAGTTAATTGTAAAACAGCCTCAGGCAGGTCCTTTGGGAGGTGTTCCAGAAGAAGGAAGGCATTGTTATCCTAGGAGATGACAGCTCCATGCATGTTACTGCGCTGGAAGCCCTTCCAGTGGGACAAGATGTGGAGGTGGAAGACAGTGATACTGACAACCCTGACCGTAGACCTAGGCTAATGTGTGCGTTTTTGTCTTTGTTTTTAACAAAAAAGTTCAAACAGTTAAAAAAATTAAAAACAGAAAAAACTCATAGAATAAGGATGTAAAGAAAGTACTTTTGTACAGCTGTACGAATGTGCTTGTGTTTTAAGGTAAGGGTTATTACAAAAGAGTCAAAAAGTTAAAACAAATTAAAAAGTTTATAAAATGAAAAAGTTACAGTAAGCTAAGGTTAATTTATTATTGACAAAAGAAAAACGTATTTTCTAAATTAGCCTCAGTGTACAGTGTTTCTGAAGTCTACAGTAGTGTACAGTAATGTCCGAGGCCTTCACATTCACTCACCACTCACTCACTGACTCACCCAGAGCAACTTCCAGTCCTGCAAGCTCCATTCATGGTAAGTGCTCCATAGAAGTGGACACTTTTTATCTTTTATACCATATTCTCACGGTACCTTTTCTCTGTGTAGATACAAAAACACTTACATTGTGTTACAACTGCTTGCAGTATTCAGGACAAAGACGTACTGTGCAAGTTTGTAACCTGGGAGCAACAGACTACACCACATAGCCTAGGTGTGTAGCAGGCTGTACAATCTAGGTTTGTGTAAGTCACTCTGTGACGTTCACACAACAAGGAAATTGCCTAATAATGCATTTCCCAGAACATAATCCCCCATTAAAGGGACACATGACTGTACATGCCAAGGAAACATTTACGGAGCATCCACTTCAAAATTTACATCAGTGGAGAAAAGCGATTATTCAAAAGATCCCAATTCAGCCAGGTGCAGTGGCTCACGCTTGTAATCCCAGCACTTTAGGAGGCCTAGGCAAGCGAATCACTTGAGGCCAAGAGTTCAAGAGCAGCCTGACCAACATGGTGAAATCCCATCTTTACTAAAAATACAAAAATTAGCCGGATGTGGTGGCACATGCCTGTAATCCCAGCTACTTGGGAGGGTGAGGCAGGAGAATCGCTTGAACCCGGGAGGTGGAGGTCACAGTGAGCTGAGATCACACCACTGCACTCCAGCCTGGGCAACAGAGTGAGACTCCATCTCAAAACAAACAAACAAATAAAAGATCCCAATTGAATGGGACAACCAAGTGGTCATCTGGGAAAAATTAAAGCTAAATCCCCACCTTATTCCTCACACCAACATAAATTCCAGATGGATCAGAAATTTAATCCCTCAAACTAAAACCATAAAAGCATTAAAAATAGAATACTTTTAAAAAAATAACCTCAGAGTGAGAAAGATCTTTCTTAACATAACACAAAATCTGGAACACATTTTAAAAAATAATAATAAATTTGATTATATAAAAAAATGTAATTCAAATGTCAAATAAAAGTCGAAGCACAACCAACAAAGCAAAAAAAGTGTTTACAACACATGCAGTTGGCAAAGGCTAATTTCCTTAATATATAAAGCACTTTTAGAATCAATAAGAAAGAAATGGCAAAGGATAGAGCAAAGCTCATAGAAATGGACCCACAACTGACCTTTTTTTTTTTTTTGAGACTGAGTCTCACTCTGTTGCCCAGGCTGGAGGGCAATGGTGCAATCTTGGCTCGCTGCAACCTCCGCCTCCTGGGCTCAAGCAATTCTCCTCCCTCAGCCTCCCGAGTAGCTGGAATTAGAGGTGCATGCCACCACACCCGGCTAATTTTTGTATTTTAGTAGAGACGGGTTTCATCATGTTGGCCAGGCTGGTCTCGAACTCTTGACCTCAGGTGATCTACCCACCTGGGCCTCTCAAAGTGCTGGGATTACAGGAGTGAGCCACCTTGCCCAGCCCCACAACTGACTTTTAAACATAGGAGAAGATGCTTGACCACACTAGTATTAAAAGCAAAAATTATAATTATGATTGTATACCAATTGCTTTTAGCTAACAGACTGGCAAAAAGTTTCATAGCACTGTGTGTTGATGAGAGTATAGAGAGACAGACATTCTCAAATATTATTACCGGGAGTAAAAAATCAGTAAGTACTATTACCCTAGAGGGCATTTTGACAATATTTATAAAAATTTAAAATGAACATATCTTTTGGCTAAGCAATCCCACTTCTGGGATTTATCCTGCAGACACATGGGCACACATGCCAAACAATCTAGTGACAAAGCTCTCTGAGATAGCAACATTGGAAGCAACCCAAGTGCTTGGCAATAGGAAATTGGCTAAATAAATGTACCATCCTGCAAGGGAATACTAGCAACCATTTTTTTTAAATGAAGCAGTACTTTATGTGCTGATATGAAATTATCTTCAAAATATATTAACATACATATATGCTCTTGCTTGCATAAAATGTCTCTGGAAAACGCACAGGGCACTGGTTGCCTCTGCAGGGGGGAAATGGAGGCAGGGAGAGAGGCCACTTATGTTCGTGTTTGATTGCATTAACATGCACATGTATTACCTATTTTTAAAAATAACATTTCTATAGTTATTACACTTGGGTAGGTCGGCTGTGGCTTCCCTAAGGATAAGGTTAGTTCCTCGATTCAGGAGCCAAATGCCAAAGGGACTCCAACAGTGATTCACGTTTGGAAACAGCCCGCGGGAATCTGTGCTGACTCATCGGAGGACCCAGTGGAACATGGCAGCTCCAAGGCAGAGCCAGCCTGAAACCCTGTGAACATGCTTTAGGACAACCAGACGGTCAGAGCGAGATGGGGTCAGGGTGGGGGACACCCTGAGCCAAGGAGCCAGTGACTTCCAGAAGAGTGAGGAGAAAATTCAAGGCTTTCCTCATGAAAGGGGGCAGAGCCGGGACAACATTCAAGGAGGCCAGGGGGATGTTGAGGGGGCCTGGCTGGAGGGCCTGGCAGGTGCATGGAGAGCCCCTTCCCAGACAAAGACCTGGGCCCAGTCCCTGAGAAGCACTGAGGCACCCACCAGGCTGGAAGCAGAGCCCTTCCCGCCCCCGCCCCGGCCACATCCACAGTTTGCTGGCATTTGCTGGCCTCCACCTCAGGCCCAGCTGAGTCAAGGAATTCCAAGGAACAGCCACCTCTTCCCATGCCCATCAAGGCGACCTTCCATGGTTTCCGTGGGACGTTTGGTCACACTGGGCTCAGAAATCTGCACTCTGTAAACTCACCGGTTTCTCCGTGACTGGGGTTTCCCTTTGTGCCTCAGTGTTCCTTTGGGAAATGTTCAACCTTTTTTTGGCCTAGTTAAGGAGAAAGGAATTTTTCCAGACTCAGTCAGAGATGTTGGCTCAGCTTGATTGGGAGGGAAGGGTGATTTTAATAAGGCCGGGGGTGGTAGTGGGGACAATGTGTGACCCCCCCGGGAAGTGGGACCGCACACGGTACCGGGGTGGGCAGTTCTGGCTCCTCCTGACCTGGCTGTCCCTCCCCAGTGCCATGAGTTTTGAGCCTGGTTGCCTTGGTGACCCGTTTTCAGTCCTTATTCACCTCCTAACCATCTCATGTTCTCTCGAGCCTCCTTCCATCCCCAGCACAGTCCACACACAATGTAAGTGCTCAAAAGTCGAACTGTAGCACTGAGTTGAGGGGTGGTCAGCCCCGGTGAGCCCTGGTGTCTCATCATGGTTTCCCCATGGCTGTCTCCACCCCTCTTCCAGAAAAGCTATTGAGAAATGGAACTCTTTGACATCACCCCTAGCTAAAGTTGCTGAAAACAGCTCAGAGGAGTGAATTCCACAGAGCCCTATGCCCCGCCTAGATTCCTGGGGCTTCTTGTCTCATGGAGTCTGCAGAGCCGCGTCCAGACCCCTCATCCTGGACCGCTACCCGGCATCGGCCTCCTCCACGTAGTCTTCTTGCTCCCACTGCAATCTGACTTTCTGCCAAACCATTTCCCTCCTGGCTTCAAACTTTTGTCGGGAAAGAGATGAAATCAGCACTTGGAGAGCTGGAAAGGGAAAAACAGCTGCTTTTCACAAAATGGGCTAGGGAGGGGGAAGCGGAGCAGCACAGCTGGATCTTGGTGGGAAAGCCAGAGTCTGGTGGGAACGTACAGCTCACAGCAGGAGAGACAAACACACAAACCTAGAGGGGCCCAGCGGCAGCAGCTCAGGGGCTTGCTTGCCAATGGCACCTTGTGCCGTATTCTTCAGATACAGTCACATCTCATATCCACATTAACCATCCTAGGGCTGTAGAGATTTTCTCCATTTTAGAGAGGTAGGCACAAAAAAAAAAAAAAGATTTCTCTTTCCCCTTAGTTCTCCTATAAGAATAATTATAGTGCGTGTGCTTGGGACAAATAGAGAGTGGTGGGGCCTGTGGCATCAAGGCCGCCAGGTAAAATTGCTCAGGTTGGGCGGACTCTGTGGCATCTTGCAACTGTGGCCGTGTGGCTATGTGGGCCTCTGATAACAACTATGATTTTTCAAGAGGAGCCAGGGATCTGGATTTTTATTTAAAAATTACCTGAGATTTAAACATTGGCAACTAATTCAGAAGCTTTACGGTATTGAGCAGTCAGTAGTACACTGTGGGCCAAGCAAAACATGTCTGTGGGTAGAGTTGGGGCTGAGGGCTGGAGTTTGAGTCCTCCTTTATGGGTGAGAACTGACACATGTACCCCAGCCAGGAGCAGGCATTGTCAGCACTCTACCCATCCCCCAAATCCCTTCCTCCCTTTTTTGTTTCCGTGACCCCTCCAGCTCCGAAGGGCTTTCACTTCCTGCAGTATGCACCTGACTTACCTCATGGTATAACCTGTTTCTTACCATTCCACTTTTCACCTGCCTTCCTCAATGATAACTCTAACATAATAGTACATAATAGTTGTTTTTTGTTTGGTTGGTTTTTTGTTTTTTTTGTTTTTTTTTTGAGACAGAGTCTCACTGTCGCCCAGCCTGGAGTGCAGTGGTACGATCTCAGCTTGCTGCAACCTCCACCTCCCGGGTTCAAGCAATTCTCCTGCCTCAGCCTCCCAAGTAACTGGGACTAAGGTGCCCACCACTACACCCAGCTAATTTTTTGTATTTTTAGTAGAAATGGGGTTTTGCCATGTTGGCCAGGCTAGTCTTGAACTCCTGATCTCAAGTGATTCGCCCGCCTTGGCCTCCCAAAGTGCTGAGATTACAGGTGTGAGCCACTGTGCCCGGCCTAACATAAGAGTATTTTAAAATATCAGTGGCTTATCAGGCACGATGCTAGGTGCTTGACATAAATATTGGTTTAAAATCAACACATCTAAGGGAGATCACATTAATGCTTCATTTACTAAATGTCTAATGGTTTTTGAGTTGTAAGGCAAGGTTTCAAAAGCCTAATCAATTTATATATATATAAAGTTAACATGTCCACATCCTTATGATGCAGGTAATGGGATTATTCACTTTTTTTTTTTTTTTTCAGACGGAGTCTGGCACTGTCACCCAGGCTGGAGGGCAATGGCGCGATCTCAGCTCACTGCAATCTCCGCCTCCCAGGTTCAAGCGATTCTCCTGCCTCAGCCTCCCAAATAGCTAGGATTATAGGTGCCCGTCACCATACCTGGCTAATTTTTTGTATTTTCAGTAGAGACTGGGTTTCACTATGTTGACCAGGCTGGTCTTGAACTCCTGATCTCGTGATCCACCTGCCTCAGCCTCCCAAAGTGCTGGGATTACAGGTGTGAGCCACTGCGCCCGGCCTATTCACATTTTATGTATAAGGAAAGTGAGGCCCAAAGACATCTGACCACAGCTTATAAGCAGCATTTCCTGGGGATCTTCTTCAGAGGGCTCCCTTCACCTTGCTTGGAGGGACAGAGAGCCCAAGGTGCCTAGAAATTTGCATTCTCCTCCCACACCTGCAATCCTTGTCCAATGACTAATGGGCACAAGAATTTGAAAGTCCAGCTCCCTTGCCTTGGGTTAAGATTAACTGAAGTGTCCCCTGCACTCAGAGCTCCCCCTCAGGATCAGGCTGAAAAGCCGTCATCTGTAGGATGTCGCCTGTGATCACCCCTGGCTTGGATTCCTCTCTACCCCAACCTGCTTCCTTCAGCCCCTTCCCAGTTTGCCCTGGGAGCACTTCCTTAATAAATCGCAGGCACACGAGACCTTGTCCCAGATCTGTTCTGGAAGAATCCACACTTAGGCACAGCCAAGGCTAATGGGCAACTCCTCTTACAGGAGAGAAAGAATCACCCTGCCAGGGGCTGGTACAATTGTTTGAGAGCCTCGGAGGACATAGGCTATAAAAGGACATTGCTTTCTCTGAGAACCAAGTAGCATGCTGGGGCCCCTCCTGCAGCCTCTCTGCTCTCCCACCCCACCCCTTCCTCCACACATCATCCCTCCATATAGATGTGTCATTGCTGCCAAGCATCCTTCCACCCTTCCCGCTGCCCTGGCAACCACGAAGATGGTGTGTGTCTGACCCTGCCCTAGCTCCAGAGTCCTGACTGGAGTAAGTCTTAGCTACCTTGTCATAGTGGTTGGTACAAATAACCCAGACTGAAGTCACTTCGCATATGAGATTCCCATGGAACACCACAGGGAGTGGCCCAGAGGCTGGGAACACAAATTCAATCTCGAGGGTGTACAGGCTTGGAACATGGGGAAATCCAGCAGAAAATCAAGTGGATCTACAGAAATGGGCAGACAAGAAAAGTGAAAGGAAAGGACACCAGAGCCCAAACCTGGCTTCTGTTGCTTGCCAACAAAAGCATTGTGACAATTCCCAGGACTCCCAGAGACCTGTTGTGTGTTTTGGAAATTCACAGAGCACCTAAGACTGAGCAGAAATACAGAGGAGGTAGACACTGGTCCAGTGTGGCTGGTAGATGCTGACGGTGGGAAGCACAGGATCTGCCCAGGGTGTTGGGTGCTTCTGCAGAAGGATCAGCCCTGCCATGAACATGAAAACCCCTTGCCTGATCCCTGCAGCTCCAGCCAGTCACTAAATGACAGCCATGTGACTACTGTGTGTGATGGGCTCACCAAGTGCATCCGATACAGCTTGTGAATTCAAGGACCTTGCAATCTAGTTAGAGGGACCACATTGGCTGCATAGGGTGGGGGTAAGGGCATGGTTTGGGGATCAGATGGACTTGGGTCTGGGTAGCACCAAATCTCTGTGGGCCTCAAGTTCCTTATACGCAAATGAGAGATAATACCATTATCTACACCATAAGGATGTGTTGACTTTTGAAAAATATATTTTTATAATTAATCAGGCTTTGAAACCTTGACTCACATATAATTCAAAATCATTAGACATTTTGTAAATGAAGCATTCATTTGATCTTTAGATGTGCTGACTTTTAAACAATATTTATGTCAAGTACCCAGCATCATGCCTGATGAGCAATTAATATTTTAAAATGTTGACTATTATATTAGAGTTATCATTAATGAAGGCAGGTGAAAAGTGAAATGGTAAGAAACAGCTTATGCTGTGCCCTAAGTGACAGACACAGACAAGGGGTGAGGTCTTTCTAGGAAAGTTTAGGAAAAGACAGGCTTGTGCCTCCTTTAAAAGACGGGGTGAGGGGGAACTAATGCTGTTACAAAGGTCTCTATCTCTGATCAGAGAAGTGCTGGGAGCCACATGAGGAAAGAGGGTTTGCATGGGCAGGATTCCATTACCAATTTGAGCTTCAATCCCAACATGGCTTTCATTCCAAGGTCTTTATCCAGAAGTCTGATTTGAGGGATAAGAATCAGGGAAATGTCTTGGCTCCCATGTTAGTGTATGTGATGAAAAGAGACAGCAACTGGCATTTACTGGACCTCTACGATGTACCAGGCCCTGTGTAGGTGTTTTTATAAATAGTGTATCTGTCAGCTATTCCCACAATAAAGCTGTGTAACAAAATTCACAGCATACAACATCTTCGGGTTACATGGAATTTGGCTGGCCTAAGCGGGGCTCAGCTGGGCCTGACTCCTGGCCATCGGATGGGTTCAATTCTGCTTAGTATGTTTCTTATACTTCTGGAACCAGCGCTACCTAAAAAATTATTTTCTACAATGATGGTAAAAAAGTGCAGGAGCCAGCTTAACAGCACAAGCCCACTCAAGCCTTCACTTACATCATGACTGTCAACATCCTTGACCATAGCAAGTCACATGGCTAAGACCAAAGCTAAGGGACATTAAGTATACTCTGCCACCTGAGGCCATAGCAAGAGTGTGGACATCTAATATTAATGCTACTACAGGGAAGTGAAAATAGGAAATTATTATTCTACCTTCTACAGAAGCTGTTTTATTCTATCCTCTTCAACAACCCCAACAGGCAGCCATTATTAACCCCAATTTAGAGATTTTAAAAACCGAGACTCGGAAAATGCCACAGTAATTTAGAATGTCTAAGCCACCAAACTAAGATTTGTGCCTTGTCTGCCTGGCTCCAAAAACTGGGGTCTTCTGCCATTCTGGGCAGCCTGTTAAGTTGAGAATTTGCATTTTAAACCATCCATCTGTGGGCAACAGTGACCTATCATAAACCACGGTCAAAATCAGAGAGAAGGATTTGAGTACAAGTAGGTGATTTGGGAGGTGATCTCAAGAAGCACCATAGAGAAATGTGGAAGAGAAACAGGGAAGAGAAGCCAAGAAAGGGGGCTTACTGGAGCCAGTTACTGCTGTGGGAGGATGGGCTACTGAGGACAGGGGTGACCAATAGAAGAGGGTCACATACTTCAGAGTTGTTGCAACCAACAGGCGGGGAGCTGGGGTCCTTGTCCATCAACTTCCAGGAGCCATTGAGAAGCACCACTCTGGTTCACTGGGTCTCAATCTAAAATCATCTGGGAGTTTGTTGTTGTTGTTGTTGAGACAGTGTCTCACTCTGTCACCCAGGCTGGAGTGCAGTGGTGTGATCTTGGCTCACTGCAACCTACCTCTGCCTCCCAGGTTCAAGCAATTCTCCTACCTCTGCCTCCAGAGTAGCTGGGATTACAGGCGTGTGCCACCACACTCGGTTAAATTTTGTACTTTTAGTAGAGATGGGGGTTCCCCATGTTGGCGAGGCTGATCTCGAACTCCTGACCTCAAGTGATCCACCCGCCTCGGCCTCCCAAAGTTCTGGGATTATGAGTCACCGCGCCTGGCCAAGTTTATTTTTTTTTTCCGTGATGGCTGGGTCTCAGCTCCAGTGATTTTGAGCTGATGAGGCTGTGTCAGCCTGAGCATGGGACTGGTGAAAGCTCCCCCAGTGACCTGTTGGACATGGTAGTTTGGGAAGCTCTGGTCTAGCTAGTTCCTCGGATCCCTCTGAGCCTACAAGTTCGAGGCCTCTTTGAACAAGCTCAGCTGAGGATGGAAACCCTGAGAAAGTGGCCCGTGCAGCTGGAGATAAATCATTTATTGGCCGGGGCTGCAGCTGGTGGCGGCTTGAGAAATGAGCTTTTTGGCCTTAACTCCACTGTTTGTGCTCCCGTGACCATAAGGGAACTGAACGCACAGACTTTCTTTTTAGAAAGAAAAAAAAAATGTCAAGCATATTTTCCAAGGTTTAATTTCCCTCCAATGTCCTGAAGAAACCTTTCGAAAAGCTTAGACTGCCTCAACCCCAGTATCTAGTAATAACATCAAACACTTTGAAATGGAGACCCAGTGTGACTTTGTTTAACTAAATAAAACCCAGGGAAGGAGAGAAATTAAAAAGAGCACGGGTTTAAGAGAAGTCAAATTTCCACCAAAAAGGTGGAAGAGGGAAGCTGGTTGGTGGAGTAGGATGGGAGGCAGATGCCGAATCCCAAGAGTTTAAAATTCAGGAAAAGAAGAGAAATGCACTGTCTTTGCCAGATTTAGCAAATAAAAATATGGGATGCCTAGTTCAATTTGAATTTCAGATAAACAATGAATTTTTTTTAGTGTGTGTCCTGTGCAATATTTGGGACATACTTATACTAAAAATATTATTCATTGCCCATCTGAAATTCAAATTGAACTGGGCATCCTGGATTTTATCTGGCAACCATAAAACATACAAAAATTGGTCTCAACTGGTCAGGACACCCTTAACCAGGTGTCTCTGAGTTAAATTGGGTGACTCTGTGCTAAACGAGATGTCTCTGGTCTTAACTGGGCATCCCTGGTCTTCTCCCATTTGTAACTGGAGTGGAAATACCCATAAAGGAAGATAAGGAAATAAATGGATGGAAAGGAGAGGAGACAGAGAAAAAGGGGGTCTTCATGGGAAGGGCAGGGGCACCAGCATCCCTCTGCCTGCTTTCTCCCACCCCTGAGCTCTCAGCACAGCCGAGGGACCTGAGGTCAGAGTCCCTGTCCAGAGTGAGAATTCGCCTTTCCCTCTGTGAGCTGAGGATTTGGAGGAAGGTCTGCAGAAATCGGGAGGGCCATCTGCCCCAGCCCTGGAGAAATGAGATGGGGTGCTGGAGGTTTAACCCCCAGGCACGGACTCGGGGCCACCCCTTCCCTATGGCCTGCCCTCCTTTGCCCAATCCTTTCTTCCCTGTGCTGCCTCCATCCGCCCTCTTCTCTTCTCCTACCTCCTCATCTCTTACCCTCCAAATAAGGAAGCCAGAGGCAGTGGTGTGGTCAGGGAGGATGCCTGCAGGTCTGATCCCTGCCCCCAGACAGAATCCAGTTGCCAATGAGGCAGCTGGGGAGGGTTTGGAGGAAGGGCTGTGGGTGCTGGGTGGTGCTGGGGATCCTGGCTCGCTGACCGCACAGGGCCCCACCGCTGGCTCCAGAGGACTCAGTGTAGCTGTCTCAGGCCTGCCAGGGCGCCTGCATTGGAGCCACATCAAGGTGAGAAGAGGGCCTGGCCTGCAAGGCAGCAAAGAACAGCTTTATTCCTTCACTGCCAGCGGCTCTGGGAGGTGGAAGATGACGTGGCCCAGTCATTCCACTCCCAGGAACTGACCCAAAGAAAATAATCCAGCCCAAGAAAGAGAGCTGTGCTCAGAAATATTCACAGCAACATAAGGGAAGTGGTTTCATAAACCTTGGCATGTCAGCACCGTGGAATGTTCCTTTATTTCACCCGACATTTAAGTGACCACTTGGTGACAGGCATCCTGCCAGCTACTGGGTACCCAAAGGAGGGTATAAGCCGATCCCTTTTCTCTGGGGTTCACAAG
The DNA here is from genome assembly GCF_000001405.40 of Homo sapiens. NCBI lineage: Eukaryota > Metazoa > Chordata > Mammalia > Primates > Hominidae > Homo > Homo sapiens. Next base: position 72,766 of record NW_003315966.2, read on the forward strand.
CAAAATGAGGGAGGTTGAGAATGCAGCCTCCAGAGTCAGGTAGCGATGGGTCTGTACACCTGTCTGTCCCCTCATCTGTAAAGTGGTGACACCCCATAGGAAGTGGTGAGGGCCAGTGGGGTGACACGCATCACACACACAGCACAGTGCCTGACATGCAGTGAGTGCTCAGCAGTTACCAACTACCCTCATGGCTCCTCCTACTCCTGCAGGGATGTGACAGGCATGGTGACGGGAGGATGTGTGAGCCGTTAAGAGTTCACAGAAGAGGGTGTGTAGGCACCACCACTGAAGTATGCGCAAGTGCTGAGAGCAGAAGGAATGATGGGGTTTAATTCTACTGGAGATGTCACCAAAGGTCACCATAGGCCTTAACTCAGCTGGGTCTTGAAGGATGTATAGAAGTTTGCTGGATGGACAAGAAATGAAAAGACATGCCAGGTAGAAGCAAACCTGTGGGCCCAGTGTGGGCAAATTCAACTCCACCAGACTCAGCTCTCCATCATGGTCCCCAGCCTTTTGGTGATGATCTCAATCTACTCAAGATGTTTTCAGGCCAACATTGAAAGGAAAGGTTCTGGGTCTCTTCCCTTTTCTTCCCATGATTCTCAGCCCCTGTGCAAATGTTCCCATCTTTCCCAGCAGTCTTTGCACTCTTCATATCAAGAGATATTAGAAAGACCAGAAGTGAGCCATTTCAATGTCCACTCGCACACAACCGGGTGAAAAGATCCCACGTTCTTGAAGGAAGGGTCTGTGGTGATAATATTGATTAATAACAGTCAACAAACACGACACCATACTTTTTTTTCTTTTCCTTTTTTTCTTTTTTGAGAACAGGGTCTCACTTCTTGCCCAGGCTGGAGTGCAATTGCGCAATCACAGCTCACCGCAGCCTCCAACTTCTAGGCTACAGCCATCTTCCCACCTCAGCCTCGGAAGTGGCTGGGATTACTGGGCTCTGCAGTAGGGCAGCCCTGGGTTTGAACCTAGATTCACTATTACTAGCTGGGTGACCTTGAGCAGGTCAAGCATGCACCACCACACCTGGCTAATTTTTTCTTTTCTTTCTTTTCTTTCTTTTCTTTCTTTCTTTCTTTTTCTTTCTTTCTTTCTCTTTCTTTCTTTCTTTCCTTTCTTTCTTTCTTTTCTTTCTTTTCTTTCCTTCCTTCCTTCCTTTCTTCCTTCTCTCTCTCTCTCTTTCTCTCTTTCTTTCTTTCTTTCTTTAGAGATGGGATCTTGCTATGTTGCCCAGGCTGGTCTCTAACTCCTGGGCTCAAGCAATCTTCCTGCTTCATTCTCCCAAAGTGTTAGGATTACAGGCATGAGCCCTCACACCTGACTGTTTACTCTCTATTGAGTACTTTACAAATACCATCTCTGTGAATTAGGTATTCTTATCCCCTGAGCTTAGATAATGCAGCTGAGTTGACGCGGCCTGCTGAAGGTCACCCAGCTACTAATAGTGAATCTAGGTTCAAACCCAGGGCTGCCAGAGCCCATTCCCTTACACTGGGTCATGTTACTAAAAATGCCAAAAGAGGCTGGGTGCAGTGGCTCACGCATGTAATCCCAGCACTTTGGGAGGCCAAGCCGGGTGGATCACAAGGTCAGGAGATCACGACAATCCTGGCCCACATGGTGAAACCCAGTCTGTACTAAAAATACAAAAAATTAGCCGGGCATGGTGGTGGGTGCCCATAGTCCCAACTACTCGGGAGGCTGAGGCAGGAGAATGGTGTGAACCTGGGAGGCGGAGCTTGCAGTGAGCCAAGATCATGCCATTGCACTCCAGCCTGGGTGACAGAGTGAGACTCCGTCTCAAACAAAAAACAAAAAACAAACAAACAAATACAAAAATTAGCTGGGTGTGGTGGCGCAGGCCTGTAGTCCCAGCTACTCAGGAGGCTGAGGCAGAAGAATTGCTTGAATCCAGGAGATGGAGATTGTAGTGAGCCAAAATCGCACCACTGCACTCCAGCCTGATGACAAAGCAAGACTCCATCTCAAAAAAAAAAAAAAAAAAAAAAATGCCGAAGAGCTAAGTCAGGGCTTTGATCAAGAAAGGCGAGAAGGCAGGGTTGAGCTCTTCGCTTGAGAGAAGGGGTTAGCTGGTGATGTTGTCATAAGCCCACGAGGGGCCACAGCTCTAGACCTGAGTGCTACACATTGACCCTCCTCTTGGCACCAGACACTGCCCTGCTTGTCATTTCTGTACGGATCAGGGTCCCAGCACAAAACCAAAACCATGCTAGATCTTCCAACCCAGGGAGTTTAATAGAGGGAACTTGTTTTGCAGCTTTGAATTGATGAACAGCCATATGAGGATGTCGAGGTCACCCAGAGGTTAGTAACAACAGGAAGCCACTGCTACCATCACTAGGGCTGGGACAGGAAAGGACAAAGGGACAAGGTGGGGTCATCAGAGTTGATGGTTCTGGGGCCTCTGGCAGGAGCTGGAGCCGCAGCAGAGAGGCAGCCACTGCCTGACACACCCCCAGAAGCAGAGCAGGGAGACACACCCTGAGCTCTCCCCGCCTCTGCCCTCCAGGCTTCTACTCACTTGTCCAAGCCTATCTGAAGCCAGAGGGCAGGGGCCCTGGAAGGGACCCTCTCCACACTGTAGAACAGAAAGCAGAAAGGAGAGAAAAGGGTCTGAGAGAAAACAGGAGGAGGCCAGACACAATGTCTACCCCAACAACTGCCCTTCAAGGTCATTGTTTTTACCCCATTGTAGAGATGAGGAAACTGAGGAAACACTCACATATCCACACCTGCACCTACACATGTACACATCACATACACATATGCACACATACAACCATTATGCACATCATACACACAGGCTCACTGCTTCACTTTGAAGAGGTTAAATGACTGAGCCAACCAAGATGAGACAACTTTTAGGTTGGTGGAGACCTAATTTAAACCCAGGTCACTATATCGGTTTTCACAGCTCAGGCCAAACTGGTCACCTCCAGGACTTTGTGAATCATGAAGAATCCAACAACAAAACAACAGCAACAACAGCAACAACATAACAATGTAAGAGACCTTGAAGTTCCAAAGGCTTAGCCCGTGTGGGGCCAAGGGTCAAGGGCCCTCGGATGATGATGGTGCTCGTGTTTCCCTCTCCTCCTCGGCTCCCTAAGTCCCAGCTGCAGAAGAACATTCTATTAAGCCACAGCCAGCACTCTGGTTTTGGGGACTAAAGGCAATTTTTATTTCCTTCTTTGTGCTCTTCTCTATTTTCCAGAAGGTTTTGTTGTTGTCGGTTTTGGGGGGTTTTTTGTTTGCTTGTTTTGAGACAGGGTCTGGCTCTGTCGCCCAGGCTGGAGTGCAGTGATGCGATCTTGGCTCACTGTAACCTCCGCTTCCGGGGCTCAAACCATCCTCCCACTTCAGCCTCCTGGGTAGCTGGGACTACAGGTGCATGCCATCCCACTAGCTAATTTTGTATTTTTTGTTTCGCCACATTGCCCAGGCTGGTCTCGAACTCCTGGACTCAAGCAATCCTCCTGCCTTGGCCTCCCAAAGTGCTGGGATTACAGGTGTGAGCCACTGCACCTGGCCTATTTTCCAGTTTTTTGTGAGGAGCATGCACTGCTTTGTTACTGGGAAGGACAGATCATCTTTAGGCAATATTACACGGTAGCAGGCCCCAGATGAAGGCTTAACAGAAAGAAAGTTGGGGCAAAAGAATGGTGGCAGGAAAGAGGACTGGCCAATACAGATGGCGTGTCACCGTCCTGCTCCCTCCTTCCCTGGAAGTGGACAAAACCAGGCACCATTCACATGCCATGGTCTGGGCTATTCTTAACATACCCTCACACATATGCACGCAAACCTCAGGTGCACAAATAGACACATGCACTTACACATATGGCACACATAAATATACACACACAAAGACACACACACACCCTCACAAGCACGCCTGCCCATGATGCATGTGCATACATACACTCACATATTTGCTCACACATTCACACACATATAAACACACCTCTCATGCACATACACACTCACATATTTGCTCACACATTCACACACATATAAACACACCTCTCATGCACATACACACTCACATATCCACACGTGCACCTACACATGTACACATCACATACATGTATGTACACGCACAACTATTATGCACATCGTACACACAGGCTCACTGCTTCACTTTGAAAATCGGATTTCCAAAACTTTCCTAGCACAACCATCTCACAAGGGTGTCTCTGGCCTCCTCCTCTGAGCAGCTCCCAATAACGCCTTCCAGGAGCAGGGGTGCCTTCTGTCTGGGCCCCAGAACATGCACTGCAGGTGTCGTCTCAGGGTGGGCTCCAAAGAGCATTTCCCTCTGTAACCACAGGCTGGGAGGCCCAGCCCATCCCCTTGAGCACTGGGCAACCCGTCGGCACCCAGGAGCTCAGCTCTCAGGAAGGCTTCCAGAAGCTCCCTTCAAAACCTCAGAAGCAGCTCCATACCCTCAGGAGAGGCTGCAGTTTGCAGAGTTCACACTTCCCTGGAGGAAGCCTATGAAGCCAGACCCACCTGGGCCCTCAGAAAGGCCCCTGGAGTCAGAATGCTTGGATCCAGTCCCTGCTCCTCTCTGAGCCTTGGTTTTCTCATCAGTAATGGAACAGACCTTTGAGCTCTCATCAAGAGCTTGTAGCTAATACTATAGACTGAGCCTCTCAACCTTCAAGGCAGCTGGAGAGGAGTTTAATTCAGTGGATAACATGCACCCAAAGTCCTTAGCCATCAGTGTTTATTGCTGGGGGTTCCACAGTCCCTGCTGATATAAATATATATGTAACTTGCTCCCCCCAGAGAGCCCAGATGGCTGGGAGGTGGAGGGGAACTGCACACACCTGTGCAGTCACCCTCACCACCCCTACAGGTTAGCCACAGCCCAGTGGTTTGGCAAAAACATCTGCCCCATGCTTCCTGGATAACATACTGAGCAGCAGAGACCCAGGATGGGAGGGGCAGCTGGGAGCTGAGGGCCTCCGGGATGGTCTCAAACAGGAAGGGATGGCAGGTGCTATGCCTGCAGGTGCGGGGACAGGGTCACATGAATCAGGTAGGCAAGGCATGGGCCTGTGACTTTTGAGGACCAAGGAGGGGGACATGCTCAGGATGGGCTGAAATGTCCCTCTGTCACCTTCCAAAGGGGGTGCCTAGCAGAGATCCAACTTAGGGTTTTTGCTTCTTTAGAGAAAGCCATTGTCAGCTACATCGCAGAATGGGTGGGAATAGGAAGTTAACTTGGAAAGACATGAATTGTCATTCCTTGGAAAAGGGGAATGAGCTTCCAATGGTCCAAGGAATCAGGAATGAGTCCACTGGGAAGCAGGGTAACTCTGGTGTCCCCAGAGAGCCAGGTCTGCAGTGACACCAGGAAGCCCTGCAATCGTGCTGGGCTTTGACCTGCTGGGTGAGGCCCCTGCCCCGGGCCTCAGGCCCTGCCGAACTCCATGCTGGCTCTTCTGGGCCATAGTCCTCCCCAGAGTAAGGAGTTGGTGAGGCCAAGGGGACATGCCCAGCTAGATGATCACACACATCCCCTTCTAGAAGGTACCCCTCGTCCTGAGGGTGGCCAAGGGGACGCTGTCTGCAAGAGAATGATGGAGTGTGGTTGGCCAGATGTGTGTGCCCAGGGCACCTCAGCATGAAGGGGACTGGGAGGTGGGAAGGGAAGGAGAGGGAAAAGGGAGGCCTCCTACCCAGGCTAAAGTCCCCACCCAGTGATTTCTGCTTAGACTGGCCACCCTTGTCATAAAGGAGGCCAGGAAAGGTGACTGTGCTATGCTTAATAATACAGACTCTGTAACTGGTAAGATCAGGAAAGACGATTGAGGGCAGGCAGCTGGCAGCCTTTCTGTGCTTCACTTTTCTACTAAATGCAGCAGAGGGGAGAGGGTTGCCCCACCCCAGAGAGTCCCTACCACAGAGCAGACCCCCTTAGCACCCAGGATCACTCCAGGAGCTGAGGACTATATCCAGCACCCACACCTTAAACTTGACTAGATGCAATTACTCAACCATACACTCACATTTTCCTCAGCTGGCCACTGAGGTCAGAGCCAGCTAGACTGGACTTCCTGCTGCTGCCCTGGAGATCCCTGTTGGCACTGGAGACTCCTGGACACAGAACGTGTTATGAGTCAGAAGCAAATGTGGAATTCTCTACTTCCTGCCGTCACCCACACGTGGGGCGTATCCGCTACTGCTGTATAACAAATCATCCCAAGAATGTAGTAGTTAAAGATAACAACGGTTTACTTTTACTCACAAGTCTGTGGATGGTCTGAATGGTTCTTTGGATCTGGACTGGGCTCAGCTGGCCTCAAATGGGCCTCACCCCTGCATCTGGAGGGAGCTGCTGGCTCATCTGGGCACTAGCTGGTCCCGATGGTCTCAGCGGGAACGGCTCCTTCTGCTTTGCATTCTCGCCTCCTCTGGGAGGCTGGCCCAGGCATGTTCACAGCACAGGTTGGACGGGTTTCCAAGGGAGCAATGGAAGTGTGCTGGGCCTCTTGAGGTCTGGACTTGGTTGCACCACATTCTATTGGCCAAGTCGCAAGACCAGCGTGGATTCAAGGGGTGGAGAAATAGACTCCATCTGTTGATGGGAGGAGCAGCAAAGGCACATCGTGAAGGGATATGATAGGGGAGGGAATAACTATGGCTATTTTTGCTTACAAACAGCTTACTACAGGAAGTGTGGCCATCTGCCCTCCAGCACAGAGTCAGCATGCAAGCTGCCCTGGAAAAATTCCTATGAAAATTTTTTTGCAAACTTGTGGCCATTTGGAGGTTACGTGGTGAGAACATTCAGATATACGTAGATATCTGACCATGGTAGCTGCAGCACTCAGGGCCCCACCAGAAAAATAGAGCCCCAGCCAAGTAGTTCAATAGTGAATTAATACTAGAAACTACAGCTTGACCTTTGAACAATGAGGAAGTTAGGGTCATCAACTCCTCACGTAATTGAAAATCCACATATAACTCTTGACTCCCCAAAAAGTTTAGTAATAGCCTACTGTTGACCGGAAGCCTTATTGATAACACAAACAGTTGATTAATGCATATTTTATACGTTATAAATATTATTACTGTATTCTTACAATAAAATAAGCTAGAGAAAAGAAAATGTTATTAAGAAAATCATATGAAGGAAAAAATAAATTTATTGCTCATTAAGTGGAAGTGGATCATCATAAAGGTCTTCATCCTCATTGTCTCCATGCTGAGTGGGCTGAGGAGGAGGAGGAAGGGGAGGGATTGGTCCTGCTGTCTCAGCGTGGCAGAGGCAGAAGAGGATGAGAAGGTGGAAGGGCCAGCGGGAGAGGCAGGCACACTCGGTGTAACTTTATGGAAATATATCATCATTTTTGTTTGACTTTTTTCCTTTCTCATTTCTCTGAAAATGTTTCTGTACAGTACCAATTCTTCTTCCACCATTTGCTTTAGTTTCAGTGCCCAAACCATAGAAGGGTCCATGTGGTAAAAAAAGTCAAAACTGACTTTTTTTTTTTTTTTGAGTTGGAGTCCTGCTGTCACCCAGGCTGGAGTGCAATGGCACGACGTTGGCTCACTGCAACCTCTGCCTCTCAGGTTCAAGCAATTCTCCTGTCTCAGCCTCACAAGTAGCTAGGACTACAGGCACACGTCACCACACCTGGCTAATTTTTGTACTTTTAGTAGAGATGGGGTTTCACCATACTGGTCAAGCTGGTCTCGAACTCCTGACCTCAGGTGATCCACCCGCCTCAGCCTCCCAAAGTGCTAGGATTACAGGTGTGAGCCACTGCACCTGGTCAACAATCTTAAGTCATTGGAACCCTTCTGCCAGATTGTCTAATGTCAGTCTCTTTTCTCACACTGCGTCTTCTATGTTCTTTTTTTTTCCTGAGCCAGTCAAATTTAGCAGTGGGGGTTGTATACCAACTTCAGTGACACTAACGTTAATAAGTTCTGATAATCCACTACCATGTCTTGTTTCTCATTGTCCGGCTCTGGTTCAGAAGCATTTATCTCTATCAAGTTGTCTTCTGTTAATTCCTTTGTGTGGTGTCTGTTAGCTCTTGAATTTCTCCAAAATCCATATCTTGAAACCCTTCACTCCCCAACCTTGCTGCCATACTCACAATCTCTTTTCTTGATTGGCTCTGTCATAAATCCTGTGAAGTCATGCACACCTAGACACAGTTTTCTCTAGCAGGAATTTAATGTCTCAGACTTGATGGCTTTCACAGCTTTTTCTATAACAACAACGGCATCTTCGATGGTGTAATCCCACCAGACTTTCATGATATTTTCTCTATTGGGGTTCTCTCTCATAGCACTGACAATCCTTTCCATGGAATACTGTGTGTATTGAACTTTAAAGGTTCTTATGACCTGATCTAGAGGCTGAATTGGAGACATTGTGTTTGGGGGAAAGGAGACCACTTTGACACCTTCGCTGTTGAACTCATGGGGTTCTGGGTGGCGAGGGGCATGGTCCAGGGTCAAGAGAACTTTAACAGGCAGTCCCTACCTCACAAGGTACTTTCTGACTTCAGGAACAAAGCATCGAAGGAACGAGTATAGAAAAAGAGCTCTCCTTATCCAGGCCTTCTTGCACAACCAAAAGACTGGCAACTGGTGCTTATCTTTCCCCTTCAAGGATCAGGGTTTAGCAGCTTTATAGATAAGAGCAGTCCCAATCACAAACCTACTGCATTTGTACAACACAATAGAGTTAGCCCAACCCTTCTTGCCTTAAATCCTGGTGCTCACTTCTCTTCCTTACTAATAGATGTTCTTTGTCCATTTTTTTTTCCAGAATAGAGTACCTTCATCTGTATTTAAAAACCTGTTCAGGTAGACATCCTCTCTCCTCAATGATTTTCTTAAATCATTTCTTTTTTTCTTTTTTCTTTTTTTTTTTTTTTGAGATGGGATCTCGCTCTGTCGCCCAGGCTAGAGTGCAATGGTGCGATCTCGGCTCACTGCAAGCTCCGCCTTCCGGGTTCAGCCATTCTCCTGCCTCAGCCTCCCAAGTAGGTGGGACTACAGGCACCCGCCACCGCGCCCGGGTAATTTTTTGTATTTTTAGTAGAGATGGGGTTTCACCGTGGTCTCGATCTCCTGACCTTGTGATCCGCCTGCCTCGGCCTCCCAATGTGCTGGGATTACAGGTGTGAGCCACTGCGCCCGGCCCTTAAATCATTTCTTAATGGCATCTGGGAACTCGTCTGCTGCCTCTTGGTCAGCAGGAGCTGCTTCTCCTGTTATCCTGACATTTTTTAAGCCAAACCTCTTTCTAAAATTATCAAACCATCCTTTGCTATCATTAAATGCTCCAGCTTTAGATCCTCCAACACCCTTTTGCTTTAAGTTGTCATAAAACGACTTTGCTTTTTCGTGAATCATATTAGAGTCTCTAGGTATGCAATCCTGCACCCACATGAAAGCTGCATTTTCAATATGAAAGGAATTTTGCAAAAAAAGTGCAAAGTTTTTGTGCCTGCTGGCCCAGAAATGGCTTCACGAATTTCCTTTTGTTTTTTGCAATGGTTGTTAGGCTGGTTCATTTGTTTTTGAAATAGCTGGCAACCTCAGCTGCAGACATCAATCTATGGTAAACATCAAGCAATTCAACTTTCTTGTAATGTCATGGCTTTCCTCTGCTTCTTGGGAGCACCCCCAGCACCACTAGTGGCACTTCATGTGGGTCTCATGGTGCTATTCAGGGTTTATGGTATGCACTGCACACAAAGAAAAATACACGAGAACCAGAAGAGATCACTTTTCACTGCAATATGCAGTGTATCATTAGAGACAAACTGCTCACAGGGAGATGATCAGCATCATATGGTGTTTAAGTGGATACTTGCAACAGGAGCTTGCCACAATAGCAACAAGAGGTGGCTATGAAATTATGACAGTAGTATGGTATCAGTACAGTGAATTCGATGCAGTTATGATTTAATACTGTATCTTCATTTGTTTCCATTTATCTTGATTGAAAGGCACCATGTATGGTCTGTGTCCGTATGTGTAAGTTTTGATAAATTTTAACTTTTTAGAATAGATTTGTGTATATTTTATGGTAGTAAATGATAAAATAGACTCCTATCTACATATATTTTATGCATTCATGACATACCTAACTTTTCCTGAATTTTCTTGATATTTCTAGACCATGCTGCAAGCTTTTTTAAATTATCACAAATCTCCAAAAAATGTTTATTGAAAAAAATCCATGTAGAAGTGGACCTGTGCAGTTCAAACCCATGTTGTTCAAGGGTCACCTGTAGTTGCAAAGGTGATGGAAGAGCTGAAAACCTAAACGGGAGGGTAGAGCAACCCAGAAAGTAGAAACTGCTACTTCCCCAGGGCTAGAGGAACAAGGGAAGAGAGGGTATTATTAGGAGCCGAAGTTGTGGAGGAGACTTGGCCACTGCTGGAGGCATCACCTGAAACAGAAAGGGCTGGAGAGAGAATATTCCTGGCTTCTCTCTTCTACCAAGCTCAATCTCCTGCCACTGCTTCCCATTGACTGAACTTGTCAGGAAGCCAGGGTGCAGGGGAGCCTGGGAAATGTAGTCCACAGAGGTCAGGGCCGTGCAACACAGCACAGCAGAGAAGGATGAGGGATGGATCTGAGGACAAACAGGAAAGTGACAGTCTCCACCGCCTGAGCTGTGTGATGGGGATGAGAAGGGCCCTGTGCCTACCTGAAGGCAGAAGATTGTCTCAGCTGACAGCTTTGCGTCTTTTCTGATTCCTACAGAAATGGAGAGCATGAGCGGCAAGGGAGAAGTCTTTGTCACCCTGTCCCCAACAGGAGGGGACTGTGGGAGAATGATCTTAGGTGGGGAGATGACCTGTGGTCTGGGGAACCAGGATGGCTGGGTTCTTGAGAGGCCCTGCCAGCCAGAGCTGGAGATCAATCCCCGCATTAGCAAGAGCAAACATCCAGCACTGTGGGGAAGTCACTATAGTAGCTGCCATAGATGAAGCATCCACTGGTCCAGGAACTAACCTTCATGCTTTAGGTGGATTATTTCATGTAATCCTTTTTTATTTTATTTATTTATTTATTTATTTGAGATGGAGTCTCACTGTTTCTCCCAGGCTGGAGTGCAGTGGCGCCATCTTGGCTCACTGCAAGCTCCTCCTCCCACGTTCACACCATTCTCCTGCCTCAGCCTGGCAAGTAGCTGGGACTACAGGCGCCCGCCACCATGCCCGGCTAATTTTTTGTATTTTTAGTAGAGACGGGGTTTCACCATGTTAGCCAGGATGGTCTCGATCTCCTGACCTCGTGATCCACCTGCCTCGGCCTCCCAAAGTGCTGGGATTACAGGTGTGAGCCACCATGGCTGGCCTCATGTAATCCTTTTGATAACCCTTTGAGATAAGCACCAAGGGTGTTCCATAAAACCTAAAAAAAATTATAGCCAAAAAAAAAAAGATTGTTCCAGTACACATATAACTGAACAAAAAAGTCCTGAAACTGAAAAATGAAAAATCCCAGAAGGTCTGAGTGTAGTGTGGCTGCTTGAGGCCAAATTAGACCTTCTGGTCAACATGATTTCCTGTAAGTGAATAGATAAAAATAAGCTTCTGTATATGTTCTATGTATTGAATCATACAGTATCACTATATATGTTTTTTCATTCAATATTTCTTACAATCCAGCATTGTAAAAGTTTCACATGACATGACACTTTAGAGGAAGAAATGGAAAATCAGGCTGGATGTGGTGCCTCACACTTGTAATCCCAGCAATTTGGGAGGCCAAGGCCAGAGGATCTGTTGAGCCCAGGAGTTCAAGACCAGCCTGGGCAACATGGTGAAACCCCATTTCTACAAATAATAAAAAAAATTATCCAAGCATGGTGGTGCATGCCTGTAGTCCCAACTACTCCAGAGGCTGAGGTGGGAGGGTCACTTGAGCCCAGGAAGTTGAGGATGTAATGAGCCGAGATCATGCCACTGCACTCCAGCCTGGGTGACAGAGTGAGACCCTGTTGAAAGAAAGAGAGAAAGAGAGAAAAGAAAGAAAGAAAAGAAAAAGAGAGAAAGAAAGAAAGAAAGAGAGAGAGAGGGAGACAGAGAGGGAGGGAGGGAGGGAGGGAAGGAGGGAGGGAGGGAGGGAGGGACAGAAAGAAATGGAAGATCAGAGAAGTGGAATAACCTCCTAGGATCACACAGCTTGTGAATGAGAGGCACTGAGTTGCTCAGTGATGGAGTGTCTAATGTAGGGTGTGTATGTACTGACTGTGTCCCAAGGCCAATTATAACTTGGGGAAGGCACCACTACCTCCCTGTCATACAATGGGTACATTGTCTGTCAATGGCACGTGGTTGTACACACCTCCAGGGGTAAACAGTCAAAAGTCAGGAGCCTCTCCAGCTCTCCCTCATAAAAATACTGTATCCTCTAGGGAGTGGGGTTCTCTAGTCCAGCCCCATGTGATATGCAGTCCCAGTGGGGCCGGGAGATTTGCCCAAGGTCACACAGCTGGTTAGAGGGGAACCACACACCACCACGTCCTGCAGCTGCAAATCTGTTTCATGGCCTGCTTCCTCTCTTCTTCCCTAGAATGCCTTTTTTTTCTACCACAGAGTTTCTACAGTTCAAACCTGGAGGGCAGGTTGGGTTTTGTTTTGTTTTTCACACACTCCTTCACAGATTACAGGAGAGATTTTACTCTTGAACTGAAAGTAGAAAATTATTGTTAGCTTTAACACACAGCTCTTTCTCTCTTCCCCAACCCAGATACATTAGGATCCTCTTGTCCTATCAAAAAAAAAATAGTAATAATAATAATAATAATAATTCTATGGGGCAGAAAAGAGAAGAATTTGTGAGTTTCCCATTCCTGGCTGGACATTTCCCACAAATGGCAGTTAAGTCTTCATTGACTAATAGGAAAAGAGCAGCTCCAGCCGCATGACTTCACGGCACAGGCAAAGTCAAAGGCAAGGAGAGCTCACCTTAACTCTGGTGTATAGACACAGACTCCATGCCTCTTGTCCAACTTTTCCATCAGGGAGCCAGAACGTCCACATCTTCCAGGTTCCTGTAGGCTGTGTTTAGGGAGAGATGTAAGACTCTACTGGAACTTACGTGCTGGGAGGGCCAACGGTGCTGACACTTGGTCTTCTTGCTCTTGGCTGATGGATAGCAGGGAATATGAAGCTATCTATATCTCACTCAGATAGAGATGGACATTCCAGTCAAAAGCTAAGCTACTTCTGAATGCAAAGATGGTGTATCAGCTTTTGCTGCATAACAAACCACTCCAAAATGTAGTGGTTAAAATAACTATTGTTTATTTAGCTCATGAGTCCTCATATTAGCCATTTGGGTTGTGCTTAGCTGGGCTCATTCCTATGTCTTTGGCCAGCTGCTGGGTTTGCTGGGCCTGTCTGATCTGGGATGGCTCAGCTGAGACGGTATGCCTCTGCTCCACGTGGTCTCTCATCCTCAGCAGCATAGCCTGAGCTTTATGCACAGTAGCCTGGGCTTTATCCATGGTAACCAACAGGCTCCCAAGACAAGAGCAGCAGTACTCAGGGCCTCTTGAGGCCCAGGCTTGGAACTGTCATAAGGTGACTCCCAACATATTCCAATGGCTAAGTCAAGTCAAAAGGCCATCCCTGATTCAAGGACTGGAAATCAGCCCCAGAAGCTACAAAGTCACATTGGAAAGGGGCATAGATTTAGGGAGGGGGAAGGATTGTCACCATGTTTGCAAATGATCTTCCCCTATATCCATTTAAAATTCTTCTAGGAACAAAGTAGGGGTTTCAGGAAAAAAAAAAGTGTTGAATCAAATAATACACCCAAGTAAGAGTTTGTGGCACCAGCCTGTTGCACACCTACTAAATGCAAGCCTTAAGCCTCTGCAGTGGGCAGACCCTAAGCAGTAGCAAGCTGGAGCCTGCTAGCACTGACTCATGAAAGCCAACTGTTAAATGCTCAGGAATTTTTTGAGCCAGTTGTTAAACCATCATAGCTTGAAACTGACCATGGTGGGAGCGTTTACACCATGGGAATTGGCTAGCACTACAAATCAGGGTGCTTTTTCTCCTGGAGAGCTGGTTTACCCACACACCATCCCCGTTAAGCTGAAGGAAATACTGTCTCTTCCAACTTGAGGAGTAAGACAGATACACAATGGAAGATTATCACATGCCAATCAGGCATGATGACTTCAATACAAGAAATAAACTGAGAGACTGGAGACAGCAGGGAAAGGAACTCATCATTTCTGATGTGTAGAAATTACATAAGGCATCATGGAGGAGGTGGTCTTTTCAGCTGGGCCTTGAAGGAAATACAGAGATAGCCACAGCCAGAGGGAAGGCTGCAGCCTGTGGAACAGCCAGGCACAGAAAGAGGTGCCTTTAGAGAGCAGGCAGCCAGCCTAGTGGAAGGGGCTTAGACTACAGGTGTTTTATTTAGTACCATTTTTGCTTCAAGTGACAGAAAATCCCAAACAACAATGACTTAAGCAAGTTGGTTTAATTCTCTCCCTGTAAGCGATTTTGGGAAATGATTGTGAATGATCAGTGCTCTGCAGGCACAGCGGCTCTGCCTCCGACCAGCCCTCACATCTCCTCTTGTCCCAGACTCTCCCAGAACAGGTGCATGGTCTTCTTGTCCTTCTCTCTCCTTCTTGGGTGCTGCAGGCCATCCGGCAGCCTGGGATCTGACATCCAGCTTCCCCACTCGCAGCTGTGTGAGCTCAGAAAGGTTGCCTAACATTTCTGAATCCTGGTTTCCAACTTGGTAAAATGGAGCAACGTAACTCACAGAGGGTTACAACAATGTGGGGTATAGTGTCTGTGCAGAACTTAGCATGGTGACCGACCCAGGGTGGGCACTCAGGGGAAGTAGGGTGTGTGTGTGTGCGTGCGTGCGTGCGTGTGCGTGTGCGTGTGTGTGTGTGTGTGTGTGTGTGTGTGATGAAAGAGAGAGAGAGAGAGCCTCTCCAGGCCCTGGCCAGAGACCCCTTGGCCTCCTCCTGCCTGCTTGGAGAGGCAAGGTCTCTCTTTTTCCCAGGGTCGGGTGATGGAGCTGTTGGGGAGGGAGCCCTGGCAGCCTGGTCCTTGTGGAGTTTGGTTCTGCGTGGGCAGCTGTGTGAACCTTGACCGCTTCAGACCAGCTTCACTGGGGTAGCCACTTCAAAGGGCCCATGAGGATGCCTGCCCCAGTCCCCAGCCCATCCACCCTCACCCACAGCCCATGCCCCATGAGAGGGGACTGTGCCTGGAAAGGGCCTCTCTGGGAAATGATGTCTACCCCTCCAGGATCAAGGGGTAGGGCAGTCGGGTTGCAGCTGGGGAGGAGATGAAGGCAGGAAGTATGCTAGGTCAGTGACCCAGGCAAATATTTGGCAGATCAATGCTCAAGGTTGACCTCAAGTGTTTACCACTGGGTCACCAGGAAGTGGCTTCTTGCCACTTTCACCCACGCCTCCCCTCATGGCAGCCTTCAGGGATGAGGGCTTTTCTGGCTGTGGTCAGGGGCTCACCTGTCCACCTAGCCCCCTGGCCTAGAGCGCCCTGCCTTGCCCACCTAACTGGAGGTGGTCTTGGGACACATCATTTTTTCCTCAGAGTGAGTGGTCGTCAGAGGCCAGATCCCACCAGGACAGCCTCCTGCCCTGTGCTGAGTCCTCTCCTAGGGAAAGGCCAGCCCACTCGCTCTCCCCTAAACAACCGGGAGCACAGGTAACTCGCCTCTCTCCAACCGATGAGGACGTCCCGCGCCCAGGCTCCTGAGGGAGGGCGTGGGAGGAAGGTGCGAGCCAGACCCACATCCTCTCTGCTGCTGGAGGGGGCCCTTGCACCGGCTCAGAAAGGTGCGGAGCGTTGCCTGCAGCCGAGAGGGAAACAGCGCCTCTCCGAGCACTTTGTTCCACTTGCTGGAGGGCTAAAAATACACTGGCACAGCCAAAGGCAGTCCTTGAGAGCCCAGGGGAGTTGGCAGTGGGGAATAGCTATCCTAGCACCTGGCACTATTAAAGGAGCATCGCAGGATTAGCCAACCCCCTGGGCCCTGCCTGCGCCCGTCATCCCCACTCTGCACTCAGTTCACTCTTCCTGCAGCAGAGTCCGGGCTTCCCTGCACCCCTGCTCCACCCTGCCCACTCTTTCCCCAGGCTGGACCATCTGTATCCCTGGTTGGAGCCTGGGGCTGCCTACGTGACTGCGCTTTTGCAGATGTCAAAACAGCAGCTCTCCTGCAAAACACCGAGAATGCTTCCAATTCCTCCAGGGAAGCTACAATTTGCCATAAAGCTGAAAATGAAAATCCTTTTAGTGGGCCACAACCCAGTTTGTGAATTTCTTAAATTCAAGAAATGTGCATTGACACCCTGCTTCTATAGGCCTTAATCTTTCCAGGACCTCAAGCCTCTGTGAGAGTCTGAAGAAAGACAGGGACTCAGAAAAACAAAATGCTCCTAAGCAGCAATTGCCAAGCAATTTTAGGGAACTGGATTTTAGGGAAATGGATACCATGAACCCCATCCACACATGCGCACACTCCGAGTTCAGAATGCTTGATTTGCTGGAAGCCAGGCACTGAGCTAGACCCTGAGATGGAGAGATGAGGAAGTGGGGGAACTGCCGGGCACGCAAATGCCACCAATGCCACGGGCATGGTTAAAGAGAGGTGAGAACCAGGCCCTCAGGGTTGCGGGGGCGGGGCAGGGGGGAAGATGAACCAGGGTGTAACTAGAATATGGAGAAAAGGGTGCATTTGAATGGGGCTTTGAAGGACAAACGCGATCTTACTGGGGAGAAAATGTAGGGTTAGAGAATTTGTGTACCTAGAATTTGTGCTCCTAGCAGGGCATGAAAAAGAAAAAACTTGTTTGGAAGCAGGGCAGTCCTGAGGGTTTGCAGGGGATACGAAGGCTGAGTGGATTCATGCTCTGTTGCTGTGTAAGTCTACCACAAACTGAGAGGCTAGGCACAACACACACTTATTATCTCAGCTTCCGCGGGCCAGGGGTCCACCCAGTTAGGGTAGGTCCTCTGCTCAGGGGCTCTCCAGGCTGCACCAGGGGTCACAGGGACCTGGACAGGAAGGAATCTGCACCTGAGTTCATTCAGGATTTTAGCAGGATTCATCTCCTGTGACTCTAGAACTGAGAGCCCCACCTTCCTACCGGCTGGCGGCTGGAAGCTGCCCTCAGCTCCTAGAAGCCACCACAGTTCCCTGCTACGGGCCTTCTCCATGGGCACCTCCCAACACAGCTGCTGCCTTTTCAAGGCTGGCAGAATCTCTATAAAGTCTGCTAAGACCGAACCTTCTATCATATAAAGAGTGATAGCCCATATTCTTGCTTCTTGCTAGGAGCAAGTCACAGGTTTTACCTGCACTCAAGAGGTGGGGATTCTATGGGGCGTAACAGTGAAGAGTGGAGCTCACAGGGCCATTTCAAGTTCTGTCGGCTGAGGGAAGACTTCGCTGGAAAAGAGGCTTGGAGAGAGTTATGAATGCCCTTGCATGCCAGTTTGAAATGTACGGGAGACAGGGAGCCACAGAAAGGGGATGAGGAGGGAAGGATAGGATTAGAGGCCAAAAGTTCAAGGGGAAGGTAATTTCTTTTCTTCTCTTCTTTTTCTTTTTCTTTTTTTTTTGCCAGAGTCTTGCTCTGATGCCCAGGCTGGAGTGTAGTGGTGCGATCTTGGCTCACTGCAACCTCTGCCTCCTGGGTTCAAGCGATTCTCCCACCTCAGCTTCCTCAGTAGCTGTGATTACTGGTGCACGCCGCCATGCCCAACTAATTTTTGTATTTTTAGCAGAGACGGGGTTTTGCCACGTTGGTCAGGCTGGTCTCAAACTCCTGACTTCAGATGATCTGCCTGCCTTGGCCTCCCAAAGTGCTGGGATTAAAGGCGTGAGCCACAGCGCCCAGCCTGAAGGTACTTTTTATGGTTGGGAGGGGAAAGGATGAGGAGCCATGGGATGGTGAAGAAAGACCCAGTGTCTGCCTCGCTGACCTGCATTTCCTCTTGGTCTCTATGCAAGTGTCACCTGATCAGTAAGGCTCTCCCTGTCCACCTGACATAAAACAACCGCCCACCTCCTCTCTCAAGCCCTCACCCAGCCTTACTGTCTCACAGCTTACCAGCACGTGTCATACCATGTGTTTGCTTCTTTATCTGTTTATTGTCTTTCTGTCCCTTGTAGAATGGAAGGAGTTTGTTCGGCTGACTGCTATATCTCCAGCCACTAGAACAGTGCCTGGGGTATTGTACCTACTCAATCAATATTTGCTAACTAAATGAATGAATGAATGTATGTATTCAAAAGATCTTCTGGCAGTAGACTTGCTAGAATTTCCCATAATTAAAAGGTGGTAGAGGAAGAAGTAAGCCATTAGTGATGCTCTAAGCTTTCTGCCTTGACAGATTGGAAGGTGATGCTCAGTGACATGGGAAGAAATAGGTCACAGTGGGAAGCAGATCTGGATTGAACTTTGGTCTAGTGGACCTGAGACATCCAGGTAGCAGTCAGGTCAGGAGAGCAAGGAGGGTGTTAGAAATGTGAGATCCAGAGCTCATGGGGTAAGTAGGAGAGAAGGGAGTAGATTATGTAGTCAGTGCTAACAGGGAACAGATGAAGTCGTGGGGTTCAATGAGAGAGAGGAGAACCAAGGACACATGCTGGGAAAGAAGAAGCCAGTCTGCGAGGTAGGAGGAGACTCTGGGGTCCCCAAGAAAGAGTTCCAAGAAGGGAGGCAGGTCCTGTTCAAACTATGGAGAGGGCAAGCAAACAAGGTGAGATGTGAAAGGATTTGGTGATTAGAGGGTGACTAGTGACCACAGGGAGAGAATCTCAGAGAAGTGGAGGTTTCCAGGTCAATGAGAGGCTGAGAAAGAAGGAACACGAGGCAGTGGCAAGAACAGATTTTATGGTGAGAAAGGGAGGAAGGAAGGAGGGAGGGAAGAGGATGGATCCAGGAGTGGGAGAAGGAGATTCTGGGACGGACAGAAGTTGCTAGCCTAAATAAGCAGCTCAGCAAACTCACCCTGAGTATCCCCTCCCCTGCTGTGCCCCACCCTCCTGTCAGTGGGATGTGGGAGAAACAGAAGACAGACTTGAGCATACACTCAAGGACATCTGGGTCCATTGAACCTGCCCCAACCTTGGGCTTGTCCGAGCTACCAAGAAAAACTTACAAGGAGGTACTCAGTGGGAACTTAGGAGAGCCCTGGGGGCTACTCGGTTGCACATGGCAGATCCTGGTTCTCACTGTTGTCCAGGACTGGAACCCCTTACAGCCTGTGGCAGATGGCATTTTCTAAAAACAGCCACCACAGTATCTCCCATCCCACTTGCTCTTATACAAGTGACCTTGGCACACCCCTATCGAGGGGTAAAGTCAGTGTCCCTTCATCTTGAAACTGGGCAGGCTTCTGTGACCTCCTTGGCTGGTGGAGTCCACCATAAACCATGTCAGATAACCTCATCCTCACGGCTGGACAAGGCCACACAGCTTCTGCAGGTTTCTCTCTCTTGGCACATGTGCCTTCAAAGCCGTGAGCCATCATGTAATAAGTTATCCCAAAGCCACCACACACACAGGCCCATGTGGAGAGAAACTGAGGCCGCCAGCCCCAGCCCCTAGCCCCGCCTGAGCTCCTAGAAAATCACATCCAGGCCACAGCACTCACGATGGCTACAATCTGCCTTGCTCTCTAGGGTTCCCCAAGGCCCAGCTCCCCGTCCCTGCTGTGTGCTCCCTGGGAAGGCTAGCTTCACCGCCCCCCCATACACCTGCCTGGGCCCAGCAGGGATTAACAAACAGGCCCTGGGTACAGCGCCTCCTGAGCAGGACTTAACAGTGTCTGCACAGGTCACCTGCCCAGCTCCCAGCTCCCCACCCACCCCACTCCAGAAAAATGGAAAATCCAGGGACCATCCCAGTCCCAGCTGCGCTCCAGGAAGAAACCAGACACAAAATGGACTTTGGGCCGATTGCCCAAGCTGGACTACTGCCCCCACCTTCTTAGGAAGGGCACTCTTTCCGGAACCAAGGCCATAGCCTGGAACAAAAGCCAGATGTCTGTAGAGCAGGACATGCCAGGTGGGAGGGGTTGCCGTGGTGTAGGAGGCACATACTTGATGCCTCTCGCACCCTATCAGCCCAGGCAGGCAGGGTGCGGGGAGGGAAGGAGACCCCATGTGTAAGGACTATCATCATTCTATTACTGCAGGCAGCTGACTGCTTCTGGAGGTGGACCTCTGAGGCCTCTGGCATTCAGCCCCCTCATCCCTGCCTTCAGCAATGGGGACAAATCGAGGTTGGGGGGCACAACAAGCTATGCTCTCTGAAAGCAAAACAGATAAGTACAAATCAGGAAAGAATTGTTTCCTATCCTGTATTTGTGTTAGGATACATGTAATCTGTGGCTGGGCACAGTGGCTCCTGCCTGTAATCCCAGCACGTTGGGAGGCCGAGGTGGGCGGATCACCTGAGGGTCGGAAGTTGGAGACCAGCCTTACCAACATGGAGAAACCCTGTCTACTAAAAATACAAAATTAGCCATGCCTGGTGGCACATGCCTGTAATCCCAGCTACTCGGGAAGCTGAGGCAGGAGAATTGCTTGAACCCGGGAGGCGGAGGTTGTGGTGAGCCGAGATCACACCATTGCACTCCAGCCTAGGCAACAAGAGCAAAACTCCAAAGAAAAAAAAGGATACACGTAATCTGTACCTCTGGAGCATTTAAAGTAAGACCTGCTTTATTGTCTTATTCTCAAGTTATCTTAATAGATATTTCTTGAGCACCTATAATGTGCCAAGCACCATAGATATATTTTCATAAATACATATGTGCATGAATATGCAAAGGATGTCTCTAGAATAGTGGTTCTCAACCAGGGCTGCCAGGGAATGATTGTCAATGTCTGGAGGCATTTTTAGCTGTCACAACGAGGAAGGTGCTACAAAAATCGAGTGGGGAGAGACCAGGGATGCTACAAAACATCCTGCAATACACAGGACAGCCCCTGCAATACAGCAACAACTTCTCTGGTCCAAAGTGTCATTCGTACTGAGATTGAGAAACTCTAAAAGGATACACAAGAAACGTGTTCACAGTGAACACCCCCATTGCAGGGACTAGGGGGCCAGTGTGCATGGGTATGCAAAATCATTAGTTTTCCTTGTGTGCCCTTGTGAGGAAGGGCATTTTGTAGAGTCTCTTATGAAGTGCATGTATTACTTGTTTTTAGAAAAGAATAACTGTGACTTGACTGAGCCATAATTATTTAGTGGTCTTCTCTTGATTGCTGGGGGAAGGAATTTAAAGAGGAGGAAAAGCAAGGGCCTGCCACAGTACCTGGGACCCACAGTCCTGAATCCACCTAGTCTTCCTCTAGACCAGAGTGTTCCCACCTGGCACCAGCGCATGGTGACCCAGTCTGTTCTTTCCTGCAGGGACCATCCTATACATTGGAGGATGTTCAGCAGCATCCTGGCCTCTCCCTCCCCAGATGCCAGTGGCAATCTCTTCCCCATTTCGACAACCCAAAATATCTCCAGAGATTTCCGATGTCCTATGGGGAGCAAAAACATCCCTGGTTGGGAACCACTGTGCTAGATTTACTCTGTGAAAATCTAAACACAAAGAAGTCCCCACTCACTGACCTCAGGGACCTATGGCTCAGCTGGATCCTCAAGGAGACACTGACCCGCAGACAGGCCATGCCCTGGGCCAAAGGACTAAGGACACGGAGACAGCAGACACTGCATGGAGCCAAGGGTAGGGAAGAATGTCTCCTGCAGGAAATGTTGCCCACTGATTACTGATCATAGAGAGGGGCCTCTTGGCCTCCCCTAAAACATCTGCCCATTTCTTTTTTTTTTTTTTTTTTTTTTTGAGACAGAGTCTCACTCTGTCGCCCAGGCTGGAGTACAGTGCAGTGGCACAGTCTCGGCTTACTGCAAGCTCCACCTCCTGGGTTCACGCCAGTCTCCTGTCTCAGCCTCCTGAGTAGCTGGGACTACAGACGCCCACCACCATGCCAAGCTAATTTTTTGTATTTTTAGTAGAGACGGGGTTTCACCGTGTTAGCCAGGATGGTCTCAATCTCCTGACCTTGTGATCAGCCTGCCTCGGCCTCCCAAAGTGCTGGGATTACAGGCGTGAGCCACCGCGCCTGGCCAACATCTGCCCATTTCACAGAGAAGGAGGTGGAGCAGAGGAGTGATAGGGCCTCAGTCACAGAGTGAATGATGGCTAGGAGAAGCTGGGACGGCTCTATTCCCTGTAGCATCCCAACACGTCCTGGGAGACTTTCCTTGTTCTTTATCCACTCCCTGACTCCATGGACACCCCCAAGTCTCCTGGTGCCTGCTTCTTGAAAGGGGGTCACCTAAGATGGCTCATGACTAGCGTCGTGTATTTTCTGCATTTACCCTGTATTTCTAGATAAACAATCACTCCGCTGTTCCCAAACACCGCAGTGGCTGCACACTGAGGTGTCTCCTAGGGGCTGGAGGATCACATCCGCAGCTGCACACCACAGGCCCAGGAAATGTCCACCACCATTAGGCTGTGCCACCTTCTGCAGCTACAGGCAGCTGAGACCCAGGGAAACCCAGTTTACAAAACTCTCTGACATCTATATAAGTGAGAGTGGCAGGGAGAAATAGCATGAGAACTAAAACCCACCTTGTTTCAACTCCTTAAGGAAGGCAGCTCAGGGCGAGTCCAGCCTTGGGCAATGAAGTCAGCCAAGACATTCCTTCCACCAGGTTAGAAAAAGTCAGATATCAAAGAACCTAGGCTTTAAAGCCAAACTGCCTGGGATTGTAACCCCATTCTGTGACTTCCTGGCTGTGTGATCTCAGACAAGTTACTCAACCTCTCTGACCTCTCTGAGCTGAGTAGCTGCATCTATACGACAGAGATGATAACACTGACCACTCTATAGTATCATCAGTCAGCTGAGATAATACAAGTGAAGTTCTTAGCACAGAGACCAGCACATTGTAACTACATGTTACATGATTCCTGCTATTATTTTATTATTAAGCATAAATATAATAACAACTACCTTACTGTGGTTCATGAGCTGGTATGTGGGGCCCCATAGAAATTTTCACAAATAAAGTCCAGTTTGGAGGCAACAGGGCTGGAAAACTACGAAATATCTGATCGTTTATATAACATCCCTCCTCCCACCATCCCATATTGAAAATATAAAAGGATCTTTTAAAAACAAATTTTAGTGGATCTTTTAAAAACAAATTTTACCCCATCTGAACAGCTAAGACCTGACTGCCCTGTTCTTGGTTTCAGCTGTTTTCCAGCTGCAGTGTTTTTCTCGTTGATCAGAGAGAAATCCCCAAGGTCTGGCAAAGGAAGCCTTTAATTGCTCTGGATGGACCGATTTTTGGCTTAGCTGCTCAAGCATATAATTGAATGAGAGGGAAAGAGAATATCACTTTGAGATTGCTTTGAGATGAATATACAGTCAGACATCCCCGCTCCTGACCAGATCTCAAAGATTCTCCTAGCCTGACTCCCACAAGCTCTGCGGACAGAGAACACGAAGCGTTCACTTCATTTTCCTGAACTTTATCAAAATAATAACAAGAGTGATCATAACAATCGGTGTCCTTTATCATATGTGCTTGTAGGTTGGAATTCCCCAAAAGTGAACTCTGAGACAAGGATTTGAGTCCATTGACTTTCTTTGGAGGGAATCCTGGAAGCACAAGGAAGAAAGACAGAGAATGGAAGACAGCCAGGGAAGCAAGTTATGGCTGGGGCCGCTGGAGCTCAAGCCCCCTGGGGACTCTGGGAGCCAGTGCAGCGCGCACACTTCAGCATCATCTCATCCAGGGATGAGGGCACTGGGGAATTTATGCCCCAGATCCCATCAGCCATTGGTTGAGGGCTGTTCCAAGGCTGTATTAATTCCCTGGCACTTCCAGCCATCCCCACTGCAGGCAGCCCAAAGAACAGGAACCTGGGGCAAAAGAGCCACAAGTCAGGCCTTCTGCAAAGGCACCAGCAGCATCCCTCCAGCACCCAAATATGACACAACCCCAAAATATGATCATTGCCCACTTCTCCACTCAAAAGACCCAGAGGATTTGTGACCTAATTGAATATATAATCTTTTTATAAGTAGATAAAAGAGTTAAATATCTATAACATTTAATTTACCCTACATGCTTATAATCACATATTATATGTTAATGATATATTAATTTAGAAAAGTTGCTATCTCTGCCCTCATTCCATGACTCAGTTTTATTCCAGCTCTTCCAATTCATCATTGCTCTCATGGTCTTTGTCATCATCAAAGCCACCTTTTGAATCATCTTAGTTTCCCAAGCACATCTTCTTTCCTCCCCTCTGGGTTCTTGGCGATACAGCATTTTTGGAATCTGTAGGATGCTTTCACTGAAATTTTTATCCCAAGCCTTGAGCACCTATTTGCATAACATTAGGGCAGCTGGCTGTTCCATTCATCTCAGAGGTGCCAATGCGTGCTCTCCATAATGTAACCACGGATGGTATGGCTTTCTTAAGTGTCCTTAAAAGACTCGCTCACTCTCATAGTGCAACACTGTGATGCCACACCCTTGGAAATTTGTTCCAAATCTGGGTTACATTTCCTAGCTTCCTTTTTAGCAATTCCTTCAAGATAACCTTAGTAAATAGCCAAAAAAAAAAAACCACCGATCAAGGTTGTTTCAGATAACATCTCGCCTAAACAGCACTTGGTTGTTTAAAGTAAAATAGTTGGGAGCACCCCACAACATGAAAGACTGTGTGAGTCTTTCTTGAAAATAGAAAGTCTCATTCCAGAGATCATCTGGGGAGCGGGGAGCTTTGGTGAGTATCCAATCCTGATAGTGGTTTTGACAGTCACATGCATAAACCCATCTTAATCTTCACAACCACCCCAGGAGGTGGGTTCTATCATTATTCCCATTTAACAGATGGAGAAATTGAGGCTTGAGTGGCTGAATAAGCAGTGGTGGGTGTTACTTGGGGATATGCACACCTTCCCCCACCATGCCGCCACCCCTGATGGGGGAGAGCTGTGCCCATGGGCGTAGCTGGTAGACTCCTGGGCCAACCAGCAAACCCTAAGGAACAAAAAGCCCCAGCTGGCCCGCAGCCATGGTGAGGTCCTCACTCAGTTCCCTCCACTTTCCTGAGTGAGGAAAGAAAAGGGCAACTTCCACCCTTCCTGCTGAAAACCTCTGCAAGAAAATGCAAAGAAAATTCCCCTCTAAGGGATCTGGAGCTGCTTCCAAAACCCACACCCAAGACCATTTCAAATAGGAAAGCAAAAGTGTGCAAGAGTTTTTAAAACAAGACAAAGTGGAAAAATCTTGACTCCCCCTTTCTTGTCTGTCTTGCTAATCAGTCCATGACACTTTGGGTATTTACTGATTAACAAAACTGAAGAATTGGCGAGGGCTGTGAGGGAGAGGATTCAGCCTGGTATCATAGGGAGACTGTGGGCTTTGGTAGCTGGCAGGACTGAGCTCACTGCCTTTGGGCACTCTCAGCCTCAGTTTCACCATCTGTAAGATGGGTAATAATCCCTACCTCGCACTGCAGTGATGGTGATGAAGATTAAGTAGAATGCAGCAGTCAACATAAGTCAGAAATCGGTAGTGTCAATCCCATCCTGCACCATCCCTCCTTTCCTCTTCTGTTTCCAGACAGGTTATAGGAGTAGGGGTGCTGCAATGGGACAGACTGGGTCCCTCTGGAGTTGGGAACGAGAGTTACCATAACGAGGAGTGGAGACCTGGACGCCTGGCTTCCTGCTCTTGCCTTTCTCAGGCACCTCTTCCCACTGGGAGAAGACCACGCGACCTGTCTGCCAGAAAGCCCTCCACCCCACCCCAGACCACCCCAGTCCTGCCTGTGGCCACACCCGTGTGTGGGACCCTCGTCTCCCCAAGGTGAGGTGAGTGGATGGAAGCCCCATAGCTGCAGCTGCACCCCTGCCTTCCAGAAACCAGGTATGGGAGCTAAAGTGGAGGAAACCGAGAGGGAGAAGACAGGTCAACAGCCCCAGCAAAGAGAAGACGGGGTGTTCTCCCCGAAAGGGCCCCTGAGGGGCACACGCTGGAGGCATGGCTGCTGAAGCCCCAGACCAAGCCGAGGGCATCCTGGGTTACACTGGTGGGTCTCAGAGCTGCTGGAAGGCTGCCCCTGGCCTCGCGCTCCCATCTCCTCACAGCTGCGAACTGTGAAGGGTTCTCAAAAGCAGGGTTTCAATTTTGCAAACAGATCTTCAGAAAAGTGTGCCTCCCAGCTTCCCACGGCCAGCCACGTCGGCAAAACATACCTCGGGAGAGGAGTCCGCTGCCAAGGAGGCTGGGAAACAGCCCGGAAGCCCAATGCGCCTCGGGAGGCTCTGTTTCCAATCAGCTGGTGGCCGTTCCCCCCAACTCGTTACCATAACCAGATTTGGGGTAAGTGAGCATGCCCCATTTCATGAACAGTTGTCAGAGAATCCCCAAATCCTACTCTCTGACAGGCCACACAGACACCCCAGCGCAGGCAGCCCGGTGTCCTCAGGAGAAAAATGAGAGACTTGCTCAAGGCAGCTTCTCTGACCTCATCCAGCTCAGACGTTCTCTGATTTCGTATTTTCCCTGGACTTCCTTTAGAATAATTCCACAGGGTCTAGTACACTAGCCCCCTTAGTAATCCCTCATTATGTAAAAAAGAGAAAAGAGGAATATGTGAACTTTCTAGATATAGCACTCACACAACTCACAATTTAAAAAAATTTAGCAACAGGGTCTTGCTCTGTCACCCAGGCTGGAGTGCAGTGGTGCAGTCATAGCTCACGGCAGCCTCAAACTCCTGAGTTCAAGTGATCCTTCCACCTCAGCCTCCTGAGTAACTGGGAATACAGGTGTGCACCACCACAGCTGGCTAATTTCTTAGGTATTATTATTTTTTTGTAGAGACAGAGTCCAGGCTGGTCTTGAACTACTGGCCTCAAGCAATCCTTCCACCGTGGCCTCCCAAAGTGCTGGGATAACAGGTGTGAGCCACTACACCCCGCCCAGAGTGCACAATTTAGTTGTCAAGGAAAGATGGGTAGACAGTTGTTTTTTGGCAGCCCCCTTTCCCCTTTCTATTGCCTACTCCCCAAAACACTGACGGATACAGGGTGCCAAGCCATTATATTTTCTAATTCAAGAGTTAAATAACATTAAAGAATAATTTTTGGAAAAAAGACAAAATTATGACTCTCATTAAAATATAAAGATTTTATTTAACTCATTAATTAATGGGAAGTAGTTAAGATGTTCTAACTGGTTAAAAGGAGAATTCCAAGAACCACACACATGTAAGTCAACAGGAGGCTGAAATGAACTTGCAGAGGAAGTTTATCCACAGGGCAACCATCGAGTACATTCCCCGGGACACAAGGAATTTGCATTTCTATGAACTCAAGTCATTTGCACTATTATCAGTTCTCTGTGACTTATAGAGTTGTAAATGGCTCAAAGGCAATGGAAGGCAGTGATAAACTGGAAGAGTGCTCTAGGCTGGACATTCAGTGACATTTGCTCTTTTTTGTCCATTTGAAAGTCTTTTACTAATTTTTCCTGATGGTAATATAGGAGACCAAATGGTGGAAGAGTCAATAAAGGCTACACTTAGAGGACACTGATCCCTCCAGATTGGAATCCTGTGGAAAATTCTTGGAGGAGACAGAAGTTGAGCTTAATTTTGAGGGCTGGTGAAGATTTGGAGGCTGGGAGGGAGCCTCCAAATTATTCTTTAATGTTATTTAACTCTTGAATTAGGTATCACACCTGTAATACCACCACTTTGGGAGGCTGAGGAGGGAGGATCGCTTGAGCCCAGGCATTCTAGACCAGTCTGGGAAACATGGTGAGAGCTCGTCTCTACAAAAAAATATTTTTTTTAATTAGTTGGGCATGGTGTGCACCTGTGGTCCCAGCTATTCTGGAGACTGAAGTGGGAGGATCGCCTGAGCCCAGGAGGTCAAGGTGGCAGTGAGCCATGATCATGCCACTGTACTCCAGCCTGAGCAACAGAGCAAGAAACTTTCTCAAGAAAAAAAAAAAAAATGATATGTAGAGGAGCACATCTGGCTACAGAGGCTACAGAGGCGAGTGTGGGCGGAAGTTTGGAGGGAGGAAGGAACCAGGCGTGTTCTGCTGGCAGGGTGCACTTTTCTGCCCAGAAAAGTGGGTTTGTGAAGGAAGCAGGTGACAAGGTTGGAAATGTAACTTGGGACATCCTTGTGGCTTTTTACTGTGGCTCTCAGCTTCTTAACAGTCCTGGAGAAAGAGAGGTAAGAGGATAAATAAAGATGGTGTAAATGGTGTGAAGATAGTTATCTGAAAAGGCTGCTGGGAGGTGCTGGTCTTTTGTTCTGTTCATAGGAGACAATTTTGCGTGCCTACCTTTTTTGGGAGTGTGATCCCCCTTCTTGCTGATGAGGAAGAAGCAAACTATCAGGTTTGAGACAGATAGCCCCCCCACTTATGAGAGGGGGACAGAATTTGAACTCAAAAAGACCCAACCACAGTCAGGTAGTATTGACCCGGGTGTGGTATTGACCTGGAAGTGGTATTGACCCGGAAGTGGTAAGAACATATAAAACTGGAGCCCTGGTTGTTACCACGGCAATCCGTAGTCTGTTGCATGCTGAGTTTGGGGGAGCAGAAGAGTCTCGCGGGGATAGTCAGTGCGCAGGGAGACTAGCACAGGCCGGCAGAGAAGTGACCCAGCCCCGGATTGCCTGGTAACCTTCCGTTCCCAGGAGGCTGCTGTGAGGCTCCTCTGGTAATCAGTTCCCTGAGTCCAGGGTTTCCTAATAGGAGCCCGTCTCCCTCCAGTTCACTTGAAGGGCTCTCTGCTTCTTTCCCTCAAACAGGCTTCATGGAGTATAATGGACCCACAGCCATCTCCTTCCCCAACACCAACTCTGCCTGCATTTTAGGCCAGGTTTGTAGGAGAGCTGAATGAAGATTGAATGAATGAATGATGAAAAGTACAAAATGCCATCACTTCACTTCTTTCAGGAAGACCCAGGACACTCTGCTGCATCCTCCACCTGTTTGTGAATTAAATGTCCATGATGGCTTTTACTAAGCACTTACTATGTGCCAGGCACTGTGCTGAGCTCTGCACCTTTAAGAGGCAGCAAGTCGTGACTGGTTCAGAGCTGGCTCAGAGCTGCCTGAGTTGGAAGCCTCGGATAGGAAAATGGAAGCTTAAAGAGGTTAAGCCCTGGCCAAGCACAGTAGCTCATGCCTGTAATTCCAGCACTTTGGGAGGCCAAGGCGGGAGGATCACGTGGGCCCAGAAGTTCAAGACTAGCCTGGATAACAAAGTGAAACCTCATTTCTACAAAAAATTTAAAAATTAGCCAGGTGTGGTGGCACACGCCTATAATCCCAGCTACTCCGGAGGCTGAAGCTGGAATATCGCCTGAGCCCACAAGTTCAAGGCTGCAGTGAACTATGATCATGCCACTGCGCTCCAGCCTGAGTGACAGAGCAAGACCCTGTCACTAAAAAAGTTGGGGAGGGGGGTCAAGCCCTCTGCTGAGCTAGTAATAGTGGGACTGAGGTTCAAGCCCATGGCTGATTCCAGATCCTGTTTACAGAGCCGTTATGTGACGTAACTAAAGTGTTGATTATGCATCGACTAGGCACACCATGCAAGGTGCTGCGGATGCTGCTGTCACCAACACACCCAGTCCTGGCCCACATGGGGCTGCCACCCCAGCCCCCAGTGCTCTCCCTGGATCCTGAATCCTAGCTATCCCTTCAGAGTCACCCCTCTGGCTTCCAAGCACCTGCACTACCCACTCCCACCCCTCCCTGGAAGGGATGGCGCAGCCTGGGAGCCAGCTGCTCTGGGGGGCTCAGACCTGTGGGCTGGATTGTCCATGTGTCAGGGAAGGAAAGGGAAGCCCATGGCAGGAGGGACACCCTCTTATGGGTGGTAGCAACTCCATGGAGCCCAGGCTGCATCGTTCACTGAGGCTGCTAATGTTTGAACCTATCTTTGAATAAGATCCACCCTCTTGCGCTGGCAAGTCCAAGCTGTAGTAAACCCTGAGGGAGACCCACAGTCCAGCTGCAAGGCCCTGCCCCACTCTTGGCCGCTGGCAGAAGCTCCAGGCTTGCCGAGGGGTGCCACGTAGCAGAGGCAGTCTCCGCCTCTAGCCCATCCCACTCCTTCATCTGCTTCTCGTTAGCTTCAAAAGTAAGGCCTGGCGCTGTGCCCTGGGCAGGAGGGAGAGCTTGGTGTGGCCGCTCAGAGCTTCACCTCCCTTGCCTGGGGTTTCTCTTCTCCTGCCCCATCCATCGTCAGCACAGCTGACTGCTTCTGGGGCTCCTCTGTCTACCTTCCCCACGTTCCAGCACCCCCCTTCCCCTGCCCCTCTGTAGCAACCGCCTCCCTGCAAAGCCCCACCCACCCACACACTCATACACACACCCCTCTCACTCCCCTGGCACTCAGTCCCTCCAAGCTTCCTTCCTTATCCCTTTAGAGCCCTGCAGCCCTCAGGCAGTGTAGCCCAGAGGTTCAAGGGCATTCGCTCTGGTATCAGAAGGGTCTGGGTTCAAATCCCTTGTGCACTGCTTGCTGGCTGTGTGACTTTGGGCAAGTTGCCTAATCTCTCTGGTCCTCAGTTTTTGCATCTGTAAAATGGGGATGATATTAACAGTACCTACTTCATAGGGTTATCTTGAGGATTAAATAAAATAGTACAAGTAAAGGTCCCAGCATAAAATCAGGGCTGATCCACCTTAGGTATAAAAAGGATAAATTAGGACTTGGAATCTTACTCTTCCTAAGGAGACCTGCAGTTGGCTAAAGGAGGACCTGCCTTCAGGGACAGAAATTCAGGTTTTGTTTTAGAATAGGCCTGAGGGAGTAGGAAGCTGGAGGAACCTGTCTCTATATTCTGGATACCTCAAAGACAGTTAAATTCTGCCGTGGTGAGCATTTATTGAGCACTATCTGTGTGCCAGGCACTGTGTGGGGAAACCACAATCCCTGCAGATCAAGGAGCTCAGATTCTAGTGCCAGAAAAAAATGTAAAGAGAAAGGGCCACCATGCCACCCACTGAAGACGGCAAGGGAAGAGGCCAGAAAGTGCTATGAACAAGGAGGAAACAGCTCCAAGTTGTTGGGCAGTCGGGCGCTGGGTCTCAAAGGAGGGCCACTTGCATGGACAGAAGGTACCCCTCTTACTGAGCACTGGGGGCCTGGTGGGTCCCCTGTGCTCTCCAGGAGAAGCAGGCAGAATTCCTAAGCCCCGTTAGGCCAATGAGGAAGTTGAGGCACCGAGAGTAAGGGGCATCTGCTTCCCCACCAGCTGACTTCTATTCTAGAAAGGAATGTTCTGCACAACCCCAAACCGTCAGCTCTTTCTGCTTGCAAACTTGGCAGGAGTTTGCAGGGAACACAAAGAAGAGAGGGGGAGGAGCAAGGTGGATCAGCCGGGCTGGCTTGCCCAGGGCCTGGCACAGAGGATGGACTTTGTCCCACGTGGGTGAGGGGCGTTCACACACAGGCGTCCACACCCCCACGTTGCTCCACCAGGCACAAGGCCAGATTTTGTCCTTGTAATTCCCAGAACTGCCCTGAAACAGGACTGCTCACTACTGTGCATGGTTTAAAATGCAGTGGGGGGTTTTGGGGAGTTTTTTCGTTTGTTTTGATACGGGGTCTCACTCTGTCACCCAGGCTGGAGTACAGTGGCATGATCATGGCTCACCACAGCCTCAACCTCCCGGGCTCAGGTGATCCTCCCATCTCAGCATCCCGAGTAGCTGAGACTATAGGCACTTGCCACCATGCCAGGCTGATTTTTTCCATGTTTTTTGTAAAGACAGGGTTTTACCATATTGCCCAGGCTGATCCACCCACCTTAGCCTCCCAAAGTTCTGAGATTACAGGCATGAACCACGGTACCTGGCCAAACATGCAGTAGTTTTAAAAGAAGCCTGCTCAGGGAGAGGAGAAATGAGTCCTGTCAGATCTGCTCCCCCTGGAGAATGGCTTCCTCACCAGCCCAGCCCCTGTCTGTGCCCAGGGGGAAGCAGGCATGAGGAGGACCAAGGGGGCACTGCCATGTACTGGCCCCGAGTAAGCCAGGCAGGCCCTCTGCTGGGATCCTCACAGATGTCAGTCTCCTCGATCCTTAAAATCAGAGCTCTGGAGTCAGTCTCTTGACAGCAAGCCAAGTGGAACGCCTGTGTCTGAGCAGTAGGGCAGAGACCCCGCTCTGCCTGAGCAGCGGAGACATCTCAGATCTCGCGGTTGCAGAGGATCTGCTTCCCCCTCAGATGCCTGCAGGGGGAAAGAAGCGGAGGCAGGGGGAAAGAAGCGGAGGCAGGGGGTTGTCCTGGCTCACTCTGAGCCCGCCTGGCCTGGGTAGCAGGAACAGGAACTCCATAGTGGGGACGAGGTTAGAGAGGAGGTGCTAGCCGGCTGCAGCCCCTCACAGGCAGGGCAGCCAGTTACATCTGAATTACAGATAAACCAGAAATACTTGTAGTTTAAGCATGGCCCAAGGACTAGGGCAGTGGCAGTGGGGGTAAAGAAGGGGAGAGGTTTAAGATTGTATTTGAAGGAACTGAAATCAGGATCTTGAAGAGATGATATCTGCGCACCCAGGTTCATTGCGGTGTTACTCACAAATGGCCAAGATCTGGAAACAACCTAAATGTCCGTCAGTGGAAAAATGGATAAAGAAATTGTAGTATACACCTATGAGGGAATATTATTCGACATTTAAAAAGAAGGAAATCCAGGGCCAGGGTGGTTGGTCACACCTGTAATCCCAGCACTTTGGGAGGCCAAGGCAGGAGAATCAATCACTTGAAACCAGAAGTTTGAGACCAGCCTGGGCAACAAAGCAAGATCCTGTCTCTACAAAAAATTTAAAAATTAGCCGGGTATCATGGCGCATGCCTGTAGTTTGAACTGCTCAAGAGGATGAGGCAGGAGGATCACTTGAGCCCAGGAGCTGGAGGCTGCCCTGAGCTATGACAGCACTGTTGCATTCCAGCCTGGGCAACAGAGCGAGACCCGGTATCTAAAAAAGAGAAAGAAAGAAGAAAGGAGGGAAGGAAGGAAGGGAGAGAGGGATCAATCCTGCCATTTGTGACAACATGGATGGACCTGGAGGACATGATGAGATCCTGAAGTAACTCAGACAGAGAAAATCAAATACTGCTCTTTCTCTCTTATACATGGAACGGAAAACAGCCAAACTCATAGAAGCAGAAAGTAGAATGATGATTGCCAGGGACTGGGAAGAGGGGGAAACAGAGTGATGTTGGTCAAAGGGTACAATGTCTCAGTTACGCAGGATGAATACATTCTGGAGATCTACTGTACAACTAGGGCCTGTGATTAACAATACTGTACTGTACACTTACACATTTGCTAACAGAGTAGATCTCATGTTTAGTCCTCTTACCACATAAGGAAATGAAAAAGAAACAGAGGAGACGGAAGGACACTTAGAGTGATGGATAAGTTTATGGCCTTGATGAATGTTTTCGCAGGTGTGTACATATCTCCATCCATCAAGTTGTATACATTAAATATCTACAGGCTGGGCGTGGTGGCTCATGCCTGTAATCCCAGCACTCTGGGAGGCCATGGCGGGTGGATCACTTGAGGTCAGGAGTTTGAGACCACCTGGGCAACATGGTAAAACCCCATCTCTACTAAAAATGCAAAAATTAGCCAGGCATGGTGGCTCATGCCTGTAATCCCAGCTACTCGGGAGGCTGAGGTATGAGAATCATTTGAACCTGGGAGGTGGAGGTTGCAGCAAGCCGAGATCACACCACTGCACTCCAGCCTGGGAGACAGAGCAAAGTTCCGTCTCAAAACAAACAAAAAAAAACCTACAGCTTTTTGTGTGTCAATCATACCTCCACACTATGGTTTAAAAAAAGCATGTGATTTGGAGATGGATGCTCTGTGGATTGGTAATAAGTTAGATGTAGGAGACAAGGACATGGGAGAAATCAAGAACAACCCCCAGGCTTCAGGCTTGAGCTACCTCTGGGTTCATGGGACCACTTACTGGGGATGGGAGGGCAGGGCAGGATCAGACTAGAGAGGGGAACCAAGGCTTCTGTTTCTGGTGCTGTTAAATTTGGGAGGATTATTTGAGCCTGAAGTGGAGATTATGGTTATCCAAGCCTGGAGATTCCGGAATTAAGGGAAGGTCTGGCTGTGGCGTTACCAGCACCTGGGTGGAATTTAAAGCCATGGTTCTGGATGCAACCTTGTAGGAAGTGAGAGTTCAGAGAGCAGAGACAACCGTCCAGAGCTAGACCTTGAAGACTCCTCAACGCTGAAGGTCACCGAGAGGAGGGACAGCCAAGGAAACTGAGTCGCAGCAGCCGTGGAGGCAGGCGGGTGAGCACAGAGGGCAACAGAGGGGAGGTTTCTCTGAGCAGCGGGGGTGGCCGCGTTGGATGTTACTAGGAGGACTGATAAGATGGGAAGGGGCAGCCAAAGCCAGCCTGCAGTGAATTGAAGGGGGAACATGAGGAGAGGAAGCCGAGGCAGCCAACGTACCCACCACCGTCAGGAAGCCCTGCAGTGCTGGCTGGGGCAGGGGGCAGATTGAGTAGAGGCCACCGGAGGGCCAGTAAGATTGGGCAGGTCTTCATCGGTGACCTTTGGATGGGTTCCCTGCCTGGAAACATAGAGACAAATCCTGACTGCCCTTGAATTGGCAGTGGGACCTCAGGCAAATTGAGTTGAGTGAGAGATAGTATATAAGGGTGTTTTAATGTGTGCTGAGTGATACAGAGTGGGAGGGATGAACACCCCATGGTAGGTACATGCACACAGGGGGACCCCGCTCAGCAACAGCAGGGGACAAGCTACTGAAACCCACAGCAACGAGGACAGATTTCAGAATCGCTACAGGGAGGGAAAGAAGCCAGAATTCAGAAGGGCACCTGCAGTACAAATCATTTCTAAGAAGTTTTAGAACAGGAAACACTCATCTATAATGAAATAAAAACCTGAACAGGGGTTGCCGCAGGGGGCAGTGTGGGGGTGGCCTGACTGGCAAGGGACACGAAGGAACCTTCTGAGGGGACGGGAACATCCTTCCCTTGGGAGGAGTCTGATTTAACAGATGTCTGCATTTGTCACAATCCAGCAAATGGTGCACTTAAGATTGGAACATTTCACTCTATGTAAATTTTACCTAAAATGAACTATAAAGGCATTCCTGAATGCTACTTAATGATATACATGTGGAGACCTTTGGGAGTGAAGTGTACTGAGGTTTGTGGCTCCCCTTGAAAGGTGGAAAACAATAAGATGAAGTAATGGGTAGATGCAGAGCTGTGTGATGAAGAGATACAGTAAAATGCCATCTAGGGGGTACATATGTGGGTGTTCACTGGAAAATGCATTCAACTTTTCTGTGTGTTTGAAAATCTTTATAATAAAATGTTGAGGGGAAATTTAAAAAAAAGGATGTGAAACTACTTTTCTTTTCTTTTTTTTTTTTTTTTCTGAGACAGAGTTTCGCTCTTTGTTGCCCAGGCTGGAGTGCAGTGGTGTGATCTCGGCTCACTAAAACCTCCGCCTCCTGGGTTCAAGAGATTCTCCTGTCTCAGCTTCCCAAGTAGCTGGGATTACAGGCACCCACCACCACACCCGGCTAATTTTTGTATTTTTAGTAGAGACAGGGTTTCACCATGTTGGCCAGGCTGGTCTTGAACTCCTGATGTCAGGTGATCTGTCCACCTCGGCCTCCCAAAGTGCTGGGTTTACAGGTGTGAGCCACTGCGCCCGGCCAAGAAGACTTTTCATCCAATGCAAAGATACTTGTTGGGCACCTGCCATTATGTCAGGTGCTGCAAGGCAGGGGACGCAGTGCTGATGGAGATGTCCAAAGCTATGGCACGAGGCATCATCCAAGTGACAGGCAACTGAGCCAGCTCCTCAGAGCAGAGCGCTGTCGTTGTCCCTTCTCAGAGAGGACACCCAGGGCCAGAGGCAAAGGAGGAAAGCACAAGTGGGTCTGCTAGGAACTAATTTAAAGAAGCAAGTCAGCTGGGCTCGGTGGCTCACACCTATACTCCCAGCGCTTTGGGAGGCCAAGGCAGGAGGATCACGAGCCCAGGCATTCAAGGCCAGCCTGAGCAGCATGGCAAGACCTTATCTCTACAAACAAAAATTAAAAAAAAAAAAAAAAAAGAACAAGTCTCTGGGGCCTGTGCAAAGGGCAGCAGGGTGACTGGGTCCCCGGAGATTTGGGTTGGGATATTCAACACGTGCCTTGGAGAATGAAAATACAGTCGAGAGGAGCCAAGATGGCCGAATAGGAACAGCTCCGGTCTACAGCTCCCAGCGTGAGCGACGCAGAAGACGGGTGATTTCTGCATTTCCATCTGAGGTACCGGGTTCATCTCACTAGGGAGTGCCAGACAGTGGGCGCAGTCCAGTGTGTGTGCGCACCGTGCGCGAGCCGAAGCAGGGCGAGGCATTGCCTCACCTGGGAAGCGCAAGGGGTCAGGGAGTTCCCTTTCCGAGTCAAAGAAAGGGGTGACGGACGCACCTGGAAAATCGGGTCACTCCCATCCGAATATTGCGCTTTTCAGACCGGCTTAAGAAACGGCGCACCACGAGACTATATCCCACACCTGGCTCAGAGGGTCCAACGCCCACGGAATCTCGCTGATTGCTAGCACAGCAGTCTGAGATCAAACTGCAAGGCGGCAACGAGGCTGGGGGAGGGGCGCCCGCCATTGCCCAGGCTTACTTAGGTAAACAAAGCAGCCGGGAAGCTCGAACTGGGTGGAGCCCACCACAGCTCAAGGAGGCCTGCCTGCCTCTGTAGGCTCCACCTCTGGGGGCAGGGCACAGACAAACAAAAAGACAGCAGTAACCTCTGCAGACTTAAGTGTCCCTGTCTGACAGCTTTGAAGAGAGCAGTGGTTCTCCCAGCACGCAGCTGGAGATCTGAGAACGGGCAGACTGCCTCCTCAAGTGGGTCCCTGACCCCTGACCCCCGAGCAGCCTAACTGGGAGGCACCCCCCAGCAGGGGCACACTGACACCTCACACGGCAGGGTATTCCAACAGACCTGCAGCTGAGGGTCCTGTCTGTTAGAAGGAAAACTAACAAACAGAAAGGACATCTACACCGAAAACCCATCTGTACATCACCATCATCAAAGACCAAAAGTAGATAAAACCACAAAGATGGGGAAAAAACAGAACAGAAAAACTGGAAACTCTAAAACGCAGAGCGCCTCTCCTCCTCCAAAGGAACGCAGTTCCTCACCAGCAACGGAACAAAGCTGGATGGAGAATGATTTTGACGAGCTGAGAGAAGAAGGCTTCAGACGATCAAATTACTCTGAGCTACGGGAGGACATTCAAACCAAAGGCAAAGAAGTTGAAAACTTTGAAAAAAATTTAGAAGAATGTATAACTAGAATAACCAATACAGAGAAGTGCTTAAAGGAGCTGATGGAGCTGAAAACCAAGGCTCGAGAACTACGTGAAGAATGCAGAAGCCTCAGGAGCCGATGCGATCAACTGGAAGAAAGGGTATCAGCAATGGAAGATGAAATGAATGAAATGAAGCGAGAAGGGAAGTTTAGAGAAAAAAGAATAAAAAGAAATGAGCAAAGCCTCCAAGAAATATGGGACTATGTGAAAAGACCAAATCTACGTCTGATTGGTGTACCTGAAAGTGATGTGGAGAATGGAACCAAGTTGGAAAACACTCTGCAGGATATTATCCAGGAGAACTTCCCCAATCTAGCAAGGCAGGCCAACGTTCAGATTCAGGAAATACAGAGAACGCCACAAAGATACTCCTCGAGAAGAGCAACTCCAAGACACATAATTGTCAGATTCAACAAAGTTGAAATGAAGGAAAAAATGTTAAGGGCAGCCAGAGAGAAAGGTCGGGTTACCCTCAAAGGAAAGCCCATCAGACTAACAGCGGATCTCTCGGCAGAAACCCTACAAGCCAGAAGAGAGTGGGGG
The DNA here is from genome assembly GCF_000001405.40 of Homo sapiens. Lineage (NCBI taxonomy): Eukaryota > Metazoa > Chordata > Mammalia > Primates > Hominidae > Homo > Homo sapiens. The sequence continues at coordinate 110,853 of NW_003315966.2, forward strand.
CCAATATTCAACATTCTTAAAGAAAAGAATTTTCAACCCAGAATTTCATATCCAGCCAAACTAAGCTTCATAAGTGAAGGAGAAATAAAATACTTTATAGACAAGCAAATGCTGAGAGATTTTGTCACCACCAGGCCTGCCCTAAAAGAGCTCCTGAAGGAAGCGCTAAACATGGAAAGGAACAACCGGTACCAGCCGCTGCAAAATCATGCCAAAATGTAAAGACCATCGAGACTAGGAAGAAACTGCATCAACTAATGAGCAAAATCACCAGCTAACATCATAATGACAGGATCAAATTCACACATAACAATATTAACTTTAAATATAAATGGACTAAATTCTGCAATTAAAAGACACAGACTGGCAAGTTGGATAAAGAGTCAAGACCCATCAGTGTGCTGTATTCAGGAAACCCATCTCACGTGCACAGACACACATAGGCTCAAAATAAAAGGATGGAGGAAGATCTACCAAGCCAATGGAAAACAAAAAAAGGCAGGGGTTGCAATCCTAGTCTCGGATAAAACAGACTTTAAACCAACAAAGATCAAAAGAGACAAAGAAGGCCATTACATAATGGTAAAGGGATCAATTCAACAAGAGGAGCTAACTATCCTAAATATTTATGCACCCAATACAGGAGCACCCAGATTCATAAAGCAAGTCCTCAGTGACCTACAAAAAGACTTAGACTCCCACACATTAATAATGGGAGACTTTAGCACCCCACTGTCAACATTAGACAGATCAACGAGACAGAAAGTCAACAAGGATACCCAGGAATTGAACTCAGCTCTGCACCAAGCAGACCTAATAGACATCTGCAGAACTCTCCACCCCAAATCAACAGAATATACATTTTTTTCAGCACCACACCACACCTATTCCAAAATTGACCACATAGTTGGAAGTAAAGCTCTCCTCAGCAAATGTAAAAGAGCAGAAATTATAACAAACTATCTCTCAGACCACAGTGCAATCAAACTAGAACTCAGGATTAAGAATCTCACTCAAAGCCGCTCAACTACATGGAAACTGAACAACCTGCTCCCGAATGACTACTGGGTACATAACGAAATGAAGGCAGAAATAAAGATGTTCTTTGAAACCAACGAGAACAAAGACACCACATACCAGAATCTCTGGGACGCATTCAAAGCAGTGTGTAGAGGGAAATTTATAGCACTAAATGCCTACAAGAGAAAGCAGGAAAGATCCAAAATTGACACCCTAACATCACAATTAAAAGAACTAGAAAAGCAAGAGCAAACACATTCAAAAGCTAGCAGAAGGCAAGAAATAACTAAAATCAGAGCAGAACTGAAGGAAATAGAGACACAAAAAACCCTTCAAAAAATCAATGAATCCAGGAGCTGGTTTTTTGAAAGGATCAACAAAATTGATAGACCACTAGCAAGACTAATAAAGAAAAAAAGAGAGAAGAATCAAATAGACACAATAAAAAATGATAAAGGGGATATCACCACCAATCCCACAGAAATACAAACTACCATCAGAGAATACTACAAACACCTCTACGCAAATAAACTAGAAAATCTAGAAGAAATGGATACATTCCTCAACACATACACTCTCCCAAGACTAAACCAGGAAGAAGTTGAATCTCTGAATAGACCAATAACAGGCTCTGAAATTGTGGCAATAATCAATAGTTTACCAACCAAAAAGAGTCCAGGACCAGATGGATTCACAGCCGAATTCTACCAGAGGTACAAGGAGGAACTGGTACCATTCCTTCTGAAACTATTCCAATCAATAGAAAAAGAGGGAATCCTCCCTAACTCATTTTATGAGGCCAGCATCATTCTGATACCAAAGCCGGGCAGAGACACAACCAAAAAAGAGAATTTTAGACCAATATCCTTGATGAACATTGATGCAAAAATCCTCAATAAAATACTGGCAAACCGAATCCAGCAGCACATCAAAAAGCTTATCCACCATGATCAAGTGGGCTTCATCCCTGGGATGCAAGGCTGGTTCAATATACGCAAATCAATAAATGTAATCCAGCATATAAACAGAGCCAAAGACAAAAACCACATGATTATCTCAATAGATGCAGAAAAAGCCTTTGACAAAATTCAACAACCCTTCATGCTAAAAACTCTCAATAAATTAGGTATTGATGGGACGTATTTCAAAATAATAAGAGCTATCTATGACAAACCCACAGCCAATATCATACTGAATGGGCAAAAACTGGAAGCATTCCCTTTGAAAACTGGCACAAGACAGGGATGCCCTCTCTCACCGCTCCTATTCAACATAGTGTTGGAAGTTCTGGCCAGGGCAATGAGGCAGGAGAAGGAAATAAAGGGTATTCAATTAGGAAAAGAGGAAGTCAAATTGTCCCTGTTTGCAGACGACATGATTGTTTATCTAGAAAACCCCATCGTCTCAGCCCAAAATCTCCTTAAGCTGATAAGCAACTTCAGCAAAGTCTCAGGATACAAAATCAATGTACAAAAATCACAAGCATTCTTATACACCAACAACAGACAAACAGAGAGCCAAATCATGGGTGAACTCCCATTCACAATTGCTTCAAAGAGAATAAAATACCTAGGAATCCAACTTACAAGGGATGTGAAGGACCTCTTCAAGGAGAACTACAAACCACTGCTCAAGGAAATAAAAGAGGACACAAACAAATGGAAGAACATTCCATGCTCATGGGTAGGAAGAATCAATATCGTGAAAATGGCCATACTCCCCAAGGTAATTTACAGATTCAATGCCATCCCCATCAAGCTACCAATGACTTTCTTCACAGAATTGGAAAAAACTACTTTAAAGTTCATATGGAACCAAAAAAGAGCCCGCATTGCCAAGTCAATCCTAAGCCAAAAGAACAAAGCTGGAGGCATCACACTACCTGACTTCAAACTATACTACAAGGCTACAGTAACCAAAACAGCATGGTACTGGTACCAAAACAGAGATATAGATCAATGGAACAGAACAGAGCCCTCAGAAATAATGCCGCATATCTACAACTATCTGATCTTTGACAAACCTGAGAAAAACAAGCAATGGGGAAAGGATTCCCTATTTAATAAATGGTGCTGGGAAAACTGGCTAGCCATATGTAGAAAGCTGAAACTGGATCCCTTCCTTACACCTTATACAAAAATCAATTCAAGATGGATTAAAGATTTAAACGTTAGACCTAAAACCATAAAAACCCTAGAAGAAAACCTAGGCATTACCATTCAGGACATAGGCGTGGGCAAGGACTTCATGTCCAAAACACCAAAAGCAATGGCAACAAAAGCCAAAATTGACAAATGGGATCTAATTAAACTAAAGAGCTTCTGCACAGCAAAAGAAACTACCATCAGAGTGAACAGGCAACCTACAACATGGGAGAAAATTTTCGCAACCTACTCATCTGACAAAGGGCTAATATCCAGAATCTACAATGAACTCAAACAAATTTACAAGAAAAAAACAAACAACCCCATCAAAAAGTGGGCTAAGGACATGAACAGACACTTCTCAAAAGAAGACATTTATGCAGCCAAAAAACACATGAAGAAATGCTCATCATCACTGGCCATCAGAGAAATGCAAATCAAAACCACTATGAGATATCATCTCACACCAGTTAGAATGGCAATCATTAAAAAGTCAGGAAACAACAGGTGCTGGAGAGGATGTGGAGAAATAGGAAAAATTTTACACTGTTGGTGGGACTGTAAACTAGTTCAACCATTGTGGAAGTCAGTGTGGCGATTCCTCAGGGATCTAGAACTAGAAATACCATTTGACCCAGCCATCCCATTACTGGGTATATACCCAAAGGACTATAAATCATGCTGCTATAAAGACACACGCACACGTATGTTTATTGCGGCACTATTCACAATAGCAAAGACTTGGAACCAACCCAAATGTCCAACAATGATAGACTGGATTAAGAAAATGTGGCACATATACACCATGGAATACTATGCAGCCATAAAAAATGATGAGTTCATATCCTTTGTAGGGACATGGATGAAATTGGAAACCATCATTCTCAGTAAACTATCGCAAGAACAAAAAACCAAACACCGCATATTCTCACTCATAGGTGGGAATTGAACAATGAGATCACATGGACACAGGAAGGGGAATATCACACTCTGGGGACTGTGATGGGGTCGGGGGAGGGGGGAGGGATAGCATTGGGAGATATACCTAATGCTAGATGACACATTAGTGGGTGCAGCGCACCAGCATGGCACATGTATACATATGTAACTAACCTGCACAATGTGCACATGTACCCTAAAACTTAAAGTATAATAAAAAAAAAAAAAAAAAAAAAAAAAAAGAAAATACAGTCAGGTTTGGGAACAACCACTTCAACCCCGGGGGTTGAAATATGCCCCCATCTAACTGCCCACTGCTCGGGGCTTCTGAACGTTTCAGCCCCTCCGTTATAAACAAGGGAACAGGAAACCCAGGATTGCCCTCCCCACCAAAGGTGTATCTGTAGGAATGTTCACCATAGCCTTGTTTTTTGTTTGTTTTTTTTTTTGAGACAGAGTCTCTCTCTGTCACCCAGGCTGGAGTGCAGTGGCACAATCTCGGCTCACTAAAACCTCTGTCTCTCAGGTTCAAGCGATTCTCCAGCCTCAGCCTCTTGAGTAGCTGGGATTACAGGTGCCTGCCATGACACTTGACTAATTTTTGTATTTTTAGTAGAGATGGGGTTTTGCCATCTTGGCCAGGCTGGTCTCGAACTCCTGACCTCAGGTGATATGCCTGTCTCAGCCTCTCACAGTGCTAGGATTACAGGCATGAGCCACCGCGCCCAGACCCCATGGCCTTGTTTTTAAGAGTGAACATGTGGCAGCCGCTGCCACATGCAGCTACAGGGGACTGGGTCAGTCATTTATGATGGTTTAAAGTGCAATGGAACTCCATGCAACTGTCAGAATTAGTGAAATAAATCTATAGGTCCTGGACCTTGAACTGCCCAAAACTTAATATATTGTTAAATATATATACACACACAGACATATAATATGTACATTATGATCCCATTTACATAAAACTATATGTAGGTAAATGTGTGTAGATACATATATATAGGTGTGAATATAAATATATATAAATACACACGCACACACAGAGCACCATAATAAAGTTCACCAAAATGCTAATAACAGTGATCTCTTCATAATGGAATTTGAATCATTTTTTCTTCACTTTCTTCTTGGTATTTTTCTACATTGTTTAAAATTTCACAATAAGTGTATGTAATTTTAATGAAGCAATTATTTTTAAAAAAATAATTGTGCAGGAGGTTTCAGAGTAAGTTGATGTCCACAAAGTGCTTAAGAGACTGTCACTTTGGCCGGGCGCAGTGGCTCACGTCTGTAATCCCAGCACTTTGGGAGGACAAGGCCGGAGGATCACCTGAGGTCAGGAGTTTGAGACCAGCCTGGCCAACATGGTGAAACCCCATCTCTACTAAAAATACAAAAATTAGCCGGGCATGGTGGCGAGCACCTGTAATCTTAGCTACTCAGGAGACTCAGGCAGGAAAATTGCTTGAACCCGGGTGGTGGAGGTTACAATGAGCCGAGATCGCACCATTGCACTCCAGCCTGGGCAACAAGAGCGAGACTCTGTCTCAAAAAAAAAGAGAGACTGTCACTTAGCCCCCGCCATGGTGGTGGAGGCCTGAGTCAGGGAGAGGTTGGGGAGGTGGGCTAAGGACTCTCTCGAGCTATGACTGAGAGCTCTCCTGTCCCCTCCCTGAGCCCTGAGGCAGGACTGGCTATATTTTTGTGGGGTTCAGTGCAAAATGAAAATGTGGGCCCCTTGTTCAAAAGGTATTAAGAATTCCAAGATAGTGACAGCAGAGTACGAAGCCAAGTGCAAGGGCTCATCTGGGCATGGGACACCGTGTGACTCCACAGGTTACAAGCCCATGAGGCTGGCCCTGCCTGGCAGGACCATGTGAGCAAATTACAGAGCAGGGGATGAGGCCAGGAAAATGGTCAAGGAGGAGCTGGTCTGGGCCTTAAGATGCCATGGACCCACACAGACCCTTTCAGTTGACCAGGAATCTTGCCAGAACAAACCTTATAAACATTCATGCTTGTGCATTTGAAACCGTGGCTCCTGAGATGTTAAAAGCCCAACGGCAGGTTCCAAGGGCCCTGAGTCATTGGGCAGCTTTAATTAGCAAGAATTAGAGTCAGGAGGGGCTTAAGCTCAGGCCAGGCAGGTGGGCCTGGAGGGCTGCTTGTAGGAGGTGGCCTCTGCCTGCTGTGTGGAATCCCGGGGCTGGCCAGAGGGAACCTCCTCCAGGAACCTTCCACCCCCAGCCCCCGGAAGCTGCTGGTGCCCCTTGGCCCAGCCTGCTACCTTCCCCCAAGTCTCTGTTGGGGCGGTCACCCCAACACGTCACAACGTGGCTGCTCCTGGGGAAACCTGCTCCTGCGCCACCCACCACCATGTCCCACCCCCGCACCTCCTGGTTCCTGGGCACCACAAAGAGAGCCTGTGTTGAGGCCCAGCCGTGCTGAGCGTGCAGACAGCCTACACCTCCCGTAGGCCACACGGCACAAAGGCTGGTCTGTGTGGCCTGGCCTGGAGGGCCCACCGCCTCCCTTCCTCCACCAGGCACTAGGATCAAGTCATCAAAGGTCCCAGGAGGCTGCCAGGCTGGCTGGACAGCCGAGGAGACAAGAGCTGCTCAGCTGACCCTGCCAGACTCCAGTGTGTCCAGCAAGCAGCAGCCACTTCCAGGCTCACGGGCACTCACTGGTGACATGTGCACAGTCTCCAGCCTCTCTGAAGGCTCCTTACCCCTCTAAGTTCAGCTGAAGGGCTTATTCAGGCTCTCCCCTAATCAGGGCCCCTGCCACCAGCCTTTCCCCACCCTGCAACCCACCAGTGATGGGTACAAAGACGTGCCATCACTCCCACTATCTGTAGAACAGCCCAGAACTGATGAGGGTTTAATGCTGTCCACAGCAAACCTCACCAATAAGAGTTTGGCTTATGTCCTCAGATGATTCTAACAGAATGGAGTCCAGGCGCCCACACTAGCAACAGGCTTTTAATGCAGCCACTGTTGGCTCCCCGTCTCCTGTCCCCCTTCCCCCTCCCCTCCCTTGTGCCTCGGAATCACCTGACACATAAACCTCCTGCGCCCAGATCCTTGTCTCAGAACTGCCATTCCAAGTCTCTCCCAGCCTTGATCTCACCCCCCTGCTTCACTCATATGGCTCATGCCTGTAATCCCAGCGCTTTGGCAGACTGAGGCAGAAGAACCACTTGAGCCCAGGCATTCGACACCAGCCTAGACAACATCGCGAGACCCTGTCTCTACAATAAAATAGACAAATTAACCAGGTGCAGTGGCATACACCTGTAGTCCCAGTTAATCAGGAGGCTGAGGCAGAGGATCACTCAAGCACAGGAGTTCAAGGCTGCAGTGAGCTATGACTGTGCCACTGCACTCCAGCTTGGCTGACAGAGCAAGACCCTGTCTCTAAAAATAAATGAATAAATAATCATAGCTGCAACACACATGCATCCCATGCCTGTTAGGAGTGTGTGGAGGGGGAGTTTGGGTGAGGGGAGATCCCTGCAAGGGCCCCTGCTGCCCTTTTCCTCCGTGGGTTTCATTTTATGGGAAAAGAGAAAGAAAGTAGAATCTATGGAGACAAAAAAATGGGAGAAAGGGGCAAGGGGAGGGAGAAGGGGTATGTGGCATAGAGGGACACCACCTCCAGGGGACAAGCCAGGAGGACGCCTCCCTTGGGGCAGCCCCTCCCTCTCTCCACTCAGCTGCTTCTCCAGGAAGCCCCTTTATCCACACAGGGCTCCCCTAAGTCCTGCTCACAAAGGCATTTAGGACTCAGCTGGACTCCGCAGGGTGAGTAGTGTGCTGGTTAGGGTATTTCCATCGCTTCCCGAACATTCCCTGCCTGGCCCTGCCCCCTGGAAGGCTGAGCCCTAGGGACCGCACTGTCTGGGATCCCTGGTCCTCCACTTCCTGGTTAATCCAGCCAATAGCCTACAGTGGCAGGAGATGGGGGTTGTGGGGGGTGGGGCAGTGGGGAGGCAAAGTGTAGAATATTTATCCCCCACATTCTTCTCTCCCTCCCTCCCCATGGTTCTGGCAGGGGCTTCAGTCGGTGGCCCTCCTCCACGCTGCCCTTCTCCCCAGCAGCTGGAAACACTCTTCCATGGCCTTCCACTGGAGGGCATAACAGCTCCCCACTGCTGCTAGTGCCTGCGTGCCTCAACATCCCTTGTTTCCCTAAACTCAGACCAGGAGCAGACCCTCCATTAAGAAAATCTCTTTTGAAATCCCTTGAGGTACCACGGTTTTCTGTTGATGCCCTAACAGAGTCAGGTGCCTCAGAGTCACCTCCAAGTAACTCCTGGAAGCCCCTGGCTCCAGCAACGTGGCAAATATCAGTATTCAGCTCAGATGACCTGGGTTCGAATCTGAACTTCACCATTTACTTCCAAGTTGCGTGGCTTCTCTCAGCCTTTGTTTCTGCATCTGGAAAATGGGCGTGATCACAGCAGTGCTAAATGTCTCAGAATTCTCAATGTGGCAAATAACTGACCCCACTTCAGGCCAGCCCAGGAGACAAAGAGGGATTTACCGAAGGGCTGTGGGACCCCTGATAAGAACAACGGACTCCATGCAGGTTCTCACGACTGGTTCTCTCTGTCTCTAGGTATCTGCTTCTCTCCCTTGTCCCTGCTCTCTGCTATACCTCACATGTGAGGTATACGGCTCCCCTCCAGCTCATGAGTTTACATGCTCTAAATAGATACAGACTCCATTCTCCCTTCCACAAAGGCAAGCTCATACTTGCATACTGTACCACAACCCACTTCTATCCACTCATCCTCAGGAACCTCTTCCCGTCCCTGAATACCTTCTACACTGAGGGATGACAGCGTCCCGGTGAGCAGCCACGAAAAATCCACTGGATGTTCCATCAATATTTATCTTATTGACTTGTGTCTTTTCTTAGTAACTATCAGTGGATTCCGGAATGCATTCCCCTCTTCAGAACCCTATCTCAGGACCCCTTTGAAAGCAGGGAACTTGCCATCCTACTGTCCTGATTTCTTTCCTCCAGCCCCCAACCCTTGATCTGGCTTTCATGTAAGGCTCACAGTAGTGAAAACAGCAGCAGACCTGGTGCCGTCTCTCTCCAGTCCTGTTGTAACTTACTCTGAGCTTTCCGGGGCTATCGCCCTTGGGGATGAAACCATCTTCAATTTGGTCCAGCAGCTGTGACTTTTAAAACTCAGTTGAGTCTTGCACTGAAGAAAGACACAAAGCTACCCTTCTCCTCTTCTCCAAAGGTCAGCTCTGGTTTTTAAAGTTCAAACAATAGCAATTCAATTGAACACACAGATCCTAAATCTTTCCTGAGGCCTTCAAAAGAGAAAGAGAACACCACAGAGCTTTTAAAAATATTGTACAAAATCAAATTTTGAATATCACATCTTCCAGGGTCCCTGGAGATGCAGATGGCACACTCAGACTGGGCAGTTTGAGGGGAGTTTAATAAAGAGACTATTTACAAAGGCACAGATAGGATTTAGGAAATCAGTGCAGGCTAATTCAGAATTCTGTGGCCAGCAACATCAGGGGACGATTCCTAAAAGTGAAGAAGTAATTACAGGAAGCCAAGAGGGTAGTGGCAATGAGAGCTCCCTGGACAGAAGCCAGGACCTTTAGGAAGAGGAAGTACATGACCCACAGGGAATCCGAAAGGAAGGGCTGGGGAGGTGGATACCCAGACTCCCTCCCCTCCTGTCTTCCACACACTATCCCGTGGAGTGAACCCAGCTGGAAACTAGACATCATGGGAGCCCACTGCTCCAGGCTCCAGAGCCCTGCATCCCAGGACACAGAGCAGACAGGGAACAGGCAAGGCTGGGAGGGGAGCAGGGAGGAGAAGCAAACCGAAGCAAGCCCAGTGCAGATGCTTTGAGAGTTTACAACCCAATTAGAAAGTACGAATTTAGTGCAGAAATTGGGGAGCAATTACATGCACAGCTAAATGATTTTTTTGTTGTTTTATAAATATTTTCAACAAGTTCCCTTTAAAAAGCAAATGTCCCCCTGCAATTAAAATATGATTTCACTTACAGGAAATTCTACTCACTCAGAGCTGTTCCAGACCCCAGACATTCAGGTAAATAAAGGTATGGAGCAAGCTTGTGTTGGCTTTGAGTCAATTGCATCTCCCACAGACATCCCCTCCAGCAACCTCCTTGATGACGTTCAAGCCAGGGAGAGGACAAATAGTTCCCCAAAAGAAAATTGGAGGGCTGCTGGAAGGGGAAAGATGCACCGGAAGGCCACAGAATGCCAGACAGCCATTCCACGAAGACACGCATTAACTCACAAAGGTCATACCATCTGTAAGTGGCTAAGCTCAGGTGGAAATTCCAGCCTGTCCTCCCCAATGGCCTTCACAAATATTCCAGAGGGCCTTCCACATGGAACTATGATCTGTAAGCCCTGGTTCAGCAGGGTCCTTCTTTCCAAGAGAGGTTCTTTTCTGGGCACTCCCATCAGGAACACCCAGGTCTACCCACGTGTGCCTTCTGTCTTGGGGGACCTGGTAGTTGGCAAGTATCTTCCAAGGGAGGTCCTTCTTTGGGGATTTTTCTGTGCTCTCCGCGTCCTGGCTGTGAGACATCGTGGCAGAGTAGTACTTCACTGATACTAATTCCAGGTATGACACCAAGAAGCCCAGCCCCAGGGCCCAGTGGTGGAGGGTGGGATTCTGCTCAACTGCAAGGCCCAAGCCCATCCCCAGTCCCCTGCCAGCAGACAAATGGCTGGACCCACACATAGCACTCTCTGCTCCTGGGACAGGATGTCAGCCAGCGCTCTGCTGGATACAAGATCTCAAAGACAGACATCAGGGAAACAGAGAGAGACCCACATGACTGTTTCAAACAAGTCATGCTCAAACCTTCTTCTTCTAATTCCTAATGTACCCCTCTCTTCTCACCTGATGCTAAGCAGTAACGGTGCCTTCATAAACTCGGAAAAGGAATCAGGAAAGCACCACCCTGGCCTGAGCAATAACAAAGTGCATGAAGGTCAGAAGCCGCTGTGTTTTTAAGAGGCTGTTTTATTTATTTATTTATTTAGAGACAGAGTCTTGCCCTGTCACCCAGGCTGGAGTGCAGTGGTATGATCTTGGCTCACCGCAACCTCTGCCTCCCGGATTCAAGCGATTCTCCTGCCTCAGCCTCCTGAGTAGCTGGGATTACAGGCACATGCCACCGCACCCAGCTAATTTTTGTATTTTTATTAGAAACAGGGTTTCACCATGTTGGCCAGCGTTGTCTTGAACTCCTGGCCACAAGTGATCCGCCCACCTCGGCCTCCCAAACTGGTAGGATTATAGGTGTGAGCCAGCGCGCCCAGCCAGAAGCTGTTTTTAATAACTGACCTTTTCAGACAAATCCCAGCAAACTTTCTCCCTTAGCACCATCTCTGAGGCCACGGTGGGTGGGGTGTGTCACCACGCCTCTCTGTAACACCTCCTGTGCCCTCTTGAAATGGTTATTGTTTCCTGAGTGGTGGCTGTGGACTTGTGGCCTCGTTAAGTCATATTATCTCAATGGAAGCCATTGTCTCCTGCTGGAGGCTCCACGGCTCCTGTCTTCATAATGCAACACCCTGACCCTGAAGTCTTGCTCTGTGGAGACTGTAACAAGATCCTGGCAGGGCTCAAAGGAAACCTTTCTTCTCTCCCAGCACATGCAGAAGTCCCACTGGCAGGGCCAAGGCATGGAGCTCTCCATCCCGGAACTGGGGCTTGAACTTGGCCAACCTGAGTTGGGGCAGATCATACCCTCCAGCTCTGGTCTGTCCTGATTTTCTTCTGGCCACAGCACATCCCCTCCCACTGTTCCTGTGGCAGCCAGCCTTCCAGATGCACCCCACCTCCTGGCAATCCTGCCCTCATGTAGTCCCCTCCCACATTAAATAGGGCTGACCTGTGTTACCAGTTGTGGAAATGACAGACTGTGACCAGGTCATCATAGATATTGCGGCTTCCATCTTGCTCTCTCTTGAATCACTCACGATGGCGAGAGTCAGCTGCCATGTTGTGAGGCTGCTTAAGCAGCCCTGTGCAGGCGTCCAGAAGGTGAAAAACTGAGGCCTCCTGCCAACAGCCACACGAACTCATCATCCGTGGTGGGAAGCCATCTCCAGCCCCAGCCACGCCTTCAGGTGACTACAAACCCAGCTGCATCTTGATGCCAACCTCATGAGTCAGAAGCCACTCCTGGATTCCCAACCCACAGAAACTGTGAGACATTAAATGATTATTGTTGCTTTAGGCCACTATGTTTTGTTCCACGGGATGATTTGTTCCACAGCATTAGCTAGCTAATATTCGTCCAGAGAGGTCAGCCTCCTGGGGTCAGAGTAGAGGAGGTCAGAGAATGAACACGGAGGGGCAGACAATGCAGAGTCAGAACACTTGGTTTCCTGATCCCATATTGTCCTGCTACACATTTTCAAAAAGGGGAGGGGTATTAAAAATGAAGCAAAGTAGTTCAGTATGCTTCAACCAGCCGTGATCACCCTGGGACCATCTGCTTCTATGAACTGGACACTATCGTCCCATAGTGCCCCAAATTAGGTTCCCCTTACAAAAACAGCACCACGCTGGTGGCGACTGAAACCCTGAGCTTCTTTTCACACACACCGCCCAGACCGCCCAGACCTCCTCAACTGGTTCTATGCTTGGACACCAGATTTCTCTTTAAAACCTAACTTTCTCTGATATCAATTGATCTTGGCCTTACTCCAAAGTTCCAATCTATCGAAATCACTTTCATCTCCCATTTGGCTGTCACTTTCACTGTTCCCTCCAATATGTGTCACCTGCACATCTGACCCTGTACTTTCTGCCATCTTCATCCAGAAAGTGGACTGAACGTTGATTGGCTAGGGCAGAGCTCACCACAGAGCCCTTTGGTACTCCATGACCACCAGGGCAACGGACTCCTTGATGGCAAACACTTTGCTGATAGACGTGCAATCTGCCATAAATCCCACCAAAAAACACCGTCATTACCAGTGAGTTTGCCAATCCTTTATTAAAATGCCGGCTGGGGGTGGTGGCCTATGCCTGTAGTCCCAGCTACTCAGGAGGCTGAGACTGGATCACTGGGGCCCAGGTGTTCGAGATTGGCATAAACAACATAGCAAGACCCTGTCTCACAAAAAAACAAAAAACAAAAAACAAAAAAAAACAGTAACATAAAATGCTGGCTGGACACAAATTTATTTACCCCATTATCCAGTACTGTCTAAAAAGAAAGTTGGTTTGTGTATTCGTTGCCTGTGGTTGCTATAATTACCATGAACTTTTGGTCTTAAAACAACAGAAATTTATTACCTCACAGTCCTGGAGACCAGAAGTCTGAAATCAGTGCCACCAAACTGAAATCAATCCATCAGTGGGGCTGTGCTCCCTCTGGAGGCTTTAGGAGAGAAACTGTTCCTTGCCTCTTCCAGCTTCTGGGAGCTACAGCATTCCTTGGCTTATGGCCACATCACTCTAATTCTCACATCCAGTGTCTTCAAATCCTTCTCTTCTCTGTCTTCACATGGCTTTCTTCTCTGAGTGTGAGTCAAGTCTAACTCTGTCTTATATGGACACTTGTGATGGCATTTAGGGCCCACAGGAGAGTCCAGGATAATCTCTTATCTCAAGATTCTTACTCACTTCTGCAAAGACCCATTTTTCTTACAGGGTAACATTTATAGGCTCCAAGGGTTAGGACCTGATATCTCTAGGGGGCCATTATGCCACCCACCACAGCTGGGCACAGCTCATCCCCACCAAACTCTCCCACCTCACCATCACTGCATTTTTTTTCCCTGCTGTTCACAAATGAGTTTATGTCACGCTCTGCTCTATAATTTTCCAAAAGTCAACATCAAGGTTACTGTCTCTACATTTTGGAATCTGCTTGAGACCTGTAATTCACCCAGCCACATCAGTCTGGACATTAAAAAGAGGTCATAATAAACAAAAATAGCATTTCTTAGGTTTGCCATTATTGCTGGCTCTCCAGTCCCTTAGAAACGTCAAGAATTCTCAGAATGTGTTCTCAAGTGGAGGCAGCATAGAGGTTGCAATCAGCTTCTCAAGTCAGACTGCCTGGGTCTGAATACTGCCTCTGTCACTATGGCCAACTGTGTCTTCCAAAGATGGCCACAAAAATCTCTCCCTTCCCACATGCTCTTCTGCAGCATGGCCTTGCCCCATCCCACCAGGGGGTCCATTTCTTCACCCCGCTCTAAAATGCATATGGCACAAGTGACACTGCCATTTAAAGACAAGGCCCTTAACAGTTGCCTGTTCCTGTCTCTTGGAATGTTTGTTCTTGAGACTCTACGCTCAGAACTCAGCCACCATGTTGTGAGGAAGCCCTCACCACATGAAGAGACCCCTTGCAGAAGTTCTGGCAGACTGCCTCAGCTGAGCTTCCTGCCATCAATGGCCAGTGTGCAAGTGAGCCACTGTGGGCCTCCAGCCCAGTCGAGCCTTCAGACCCTCCAGCCCCAGCCAACACCTGACTGCAGCCATGGCAGACCCCAAGTGAAAGCCACCCAGCTGAGCCCAGCCAATTCACAGAAGCAGAAGTAATTGCGAAGTGTTGTTTTAAGCCACTGGATTTGGGGACAGCTCATTTTACAGCAATAGATATTCAGAAGAGCCACTTATTGACTGAGTAACCTGAAGCAAGTGACAAGCTTAAGCTTAGGTTCCTGCCAGAAGCACATACCGAGACAAAGGCTTGGAGCATATAGTTTATTTGGGTGATGAATCCAGGAAATACAGGTAGGGGATTAAAACTAAAACTACTGCATGATCCAGCAATCCCATTTCTAAGTATATAACTAAAAGAATTAAAAATAGGATTTTGAAGAGATATTTCCATACCTATGTTCACTGCAGCATTATTCACAATAGTCACAAGGTGGAAGCAAACTAAATATCCATCAACAGGTCAGGTGTGGTGGCTCACACCTGTAATTCCAGCATTTTGGGAAGCCAAGGCTGGAGGATCACTCTAGCTCAGGAATTGGAGATCAGCCTGGGCAATACAGTGAGACCTCATCTCTATTTTTACAAAAATAACAATTAAATGTTTAAAAAAGTAAATATCAGCCAGGCATGGTGGCTCACACCTGTAATCCCAGCACTTTGAGAGGCCGAGGTGGGTGGATCATCTGAGGTCAGGAGTTCAAGACCAGTCTGGCCAACACAGTGAAACCCCATCTCTACTAAACATACAAACAATTGGCTGGGTGTGGTGGCGGGTGCCTGTAATCCCAGCTGCTTGAAAGGCTGAGGCAGGAGAATTGCTTGAACCTGGAGGTGGAGGTTGCAGTGAGCTAATATGGCGCTATTGCACTCCAGCCTAGGCAACAAGAGCAAAACTCCGTCTCAAACAAAAAACAAGAAACAAACAAACAAAAAATATCCATCAACAAAAACTATTAGAATTGATAAATTCAGTAAAGTTGCAGGATACAAAAAAAACATACAAAAATCAGTAGCATTTCTATATGCCAACAGCAAACAATCTGTAAAAGAAATCCAGAAAGTAATTCCATTTACAATAGTTACCAATGAAATAAAATACCTAGGAAATAACTTAACCAAAGAAGTGAAAGAGCTCTACAATGAAAACTACAAAATCTTAATGAAAGAAATTGAAGACACCAAAAAATGAAAAGATATTACATGTTCATGAATTGAAATAACCAATATTGTCAAAATGTTCATACTATCCCAAGCAATCTATAGATTCAATACAATCCCTATCAAAATAACAATGACATTCTTCACAGAAATAGAAAAAAAAATCCTAAAATATATATGGAACCACAAAGACCCAGAGTATCCAAAGATATCCTCAGCAAAAAGAACAAAACTGGAGGAATCACATAACCTGACTTCCAGTTATATTACAGAGCTATAGTAACCAAAACAGCACAGCACTGGCATAAAAACTGACACGTAGACCAACAGAAAACAATGGAGAACCCAGGAAAAAACCCATACATCTACAGTGAACTCATTTTTTACAAAGGTACCAAGAACATACATTGAGGAAAGGACAGTCTCTTCAATAAATAGTGCTGGGAAAACTGGATATCCATATGCAGAAGAATGAAACTAGACCCCTATCTCTTGCCATATACAACAATCAAATCAAAACGTATTAAAGACTTAAATCTAAGACCTGAAACTATGACACTATTAAAAGAAAACATTGGGAAAAAATCTCTCCAGGACTTTGGACTGAGCAAAGATTTCTTGAATAATACCCCACAAGCACAGACAACTAAAGCAAACATGGACAAACCACATCAAGTTAAAAAGCTTCTGCACAGCAAAGGAAACAATCAACAAAATAAAGAAACAACCCACAGAATAGGAGAAAATATCTGCAAACTATCCATCTGGCAAAGAATTAATAGCCAGGACATATAAGGAGCTCAAACCAGTCTATAGAAAAAAATCTAATAATCCAACCAAAAATGGGCAAAAGATCTGAATAGACATTTCTCAAAAGAAAACATACAGATGGCAAACAGGCATATTGAAAGGTGCTCAACATTATCGGTCATCAGAGAGATGCAAATCAAAACTACAATGAGAGGTCATCTCACCCCAGTTAAAATGGCTTTTGTCTTTTGGACAGGCAATAACAAATGCTGTCAAGGATGTGGAGAAAAGGGAACCCTTGTACACTGTTGGTGGGAATGTAAATTAGTACAGCCACTAGGGAGAACAGCTTGGAGGTTCCTCAAAAAACTAAAAATAGAACTACCATATGATCCAGCAATTCCACTGCTAAAAATATACCCCCAAAAAAGGAAATCAGCATAATGAAAGGATATCTGCACTTCCATGTTTGTTGCAGCTCTGTTCACAATAGCCAAGATTTGGAAGCCACCTAAGTGTCCATCAACAGATGATTGGATAAAGAAAATGTGGTACATATACACAATGGAGTACCATTCTGCCATAAAAAAGAATGAGATCCTGTCATTTGCAACAACATGAACGGAACTGGAGGTTCTTATGTTAAGTGAAACAAGCCATGCACAGAAAGACAAACTTCACATGTCCTCACTTATTTGTGGGAGCTAAATATTACAACAATTGAACTCATGGTGATAGAGAGTAAAAGGATGGTTACCAGAGGCTGGGAAGGGTAGTGGGGTGGGGGTAGAGTGGGGATGGTTAACGGATACAAAAATATAGTTAGATAGAATAAATAAGATCTAATATTTGATAGCACAACAAACTGACAGCAGTCAACAATAGTATATTATACATTTAAAGACAACTAAGAGTATAACTGGATTGTTTGTAACACAAAGAAAGGATAAATGCTGGCTGGATGCAGTGGCTCATGCCTGTAATCCCAGCACTTTGGGAGGCTGAGGCGGGTGGATC